>NC_000006.12:92756709-92907648 GCF_000001405.40 Homo sapiens
TTATTTTATGGATGATCAAACTAAGTTCCATCCAGTTTCAAAACTAAGATTCTGTGAAAGTTTTATTTCACTTCATTATAAAGCAGGATAACCCAAAAGAAATACAATGTAAGCCACATCTTTAATTTTAAGCTTTTTTGTAGCTATATTAAAGAAAGTGAAAAGAAACAAGTAAAAATAATTTTTATAATATATTTTCTTTAACCCAACGGATTGCAAATATTATCATTTCAACATATCATTAATATATTAAAGTAGTAAGGCGATATTTTATATTCCTTTCTTAACACTAAGTCTTTCTTTAAAACTCTGTGTGTATTTTACACTAAGAATGCATCACAACTGAGGATAGACACATTCCAAACACTCAATAATCATATGTGGTTATTTGTTGTCTTACTAGGCAACACAGCGACACATCATCTTGAATCATACAGTTTCGAAAGAAGTAAAAAGTAGTTTATTTCATTATTTCTCAACCATATGGATGAATCAGGAAAATCAGATCTGGTGCTTTTATTCACACAGAGTGCAATATTCTCATAATTTCATTATTAATATTTTAATGTATTTCAAGAATGCACATTATATTTTATAATCAGCTATTCTTTGTTCTTTTGTTGTGAATATTTCCTGTAATACCTGAGGTGTTATAGGCTTGCATGACTATCTCCAAATGGTCTTATTTCTTCCCTTAGAAATACCAACACTTGCAACCTGGAGGCTTTGATGGATTGAACATTTTGACTAGATAGTTTGTCTCTCAAGATATCGTACTGATAGAAAAATAATGTAGAACATGATCTAATGGAACTAATATTTAAAACTATCTGCCTAAAAGAAAACATTAGGTATTATTTCTCATCTGAGCTGATCTTTTACAAGAAGAAGAAGGGGAAGGGGAAGAGAAGGAGGAGGAAGAGGAAGGAGGGGGAAGAGGAAGGAGAAAAAGAAGCAGGGGTGGAAAGAGCTGCAGCAGCAGGAGCAGGAGCAGGAGCAGCAGCGCCACTGCCACAACCACCACCACCAAAACAACAAAGGGGAAGCAAAAGAAGGTGGAAGAGGAGGTGAAGAGAAGCACAAGCAGAAAAAGAAGGAGAAAGAAATCCATCAAATTGAAATCCTTTTGCTTACAGGAAGTTATTCCTGAGGGCACTCTCTTTTTTTATTCAACCAGCATTCATTGAACATCTAACATCTTGAAGAAGACATGGTTCTTGCTGAGAGCTACTGCAAACAAAAAAACAGGTAGCATAGAGCTGAAAAAGTGTTTGCAATCTGTACACACTGAGAAATTCCCTGAGCTGCATCCTGACAAATGTCATCCACTTAAATACTTCTAATAAACAAGAATTGACTACCTCTGAGGCGGTACGTTTTATTTTTACACCATTGCATCACTCAGAATTCCCACATGAGGCTGCAGTAGATCACTCATGTGCTCACAATACACTAGTCTGGCCTCTGTAGACAACATAAATCTGTCTATCTACTCTGCAAAAGAATCCTTAAAATATCTGAGAACGTTTTTCTTTTTATCAGCATCTTTCTCTTTATTTTTTTCCTTCTCGTAAAATATAATTTTAACCCTTTTGCCATCCTGATCTTAATACCTTAATACCTTAAATGCATATTTGGTGAATTCTATGTTAAAATGTTTTATTCAAAGCTAAATTTTTTATTAAATATTAAAGTGGCCTAAGAATGTACTTAGTATTTTATTAGCCACCTCATAAATCCTGATTCATTCATTACAAGAATCCACTGAGAACCTATCATGTAATGGGTGGACTAAGTAATGTGGTTACAAAAATAAATAAAACACAGTCTTTTCCTCAAGTGGCTTATGGTCTAATGGACCAGGGAGTGGCTCCTAAGGACACACACCGAGGATGCTGTAGGCATGGAAGAGAAAGGTGCAGCCCAGTCTGGAATGATATTCATCACATATTGATTGATCAACTAAAATCATTAGATTGTTTTTCACCTGTAATGCCAGAAAGTGGGATTACTCCTAATTTATAACTTGTAAAAGCTGTTTACTAAATTTTCAGTGAGAAAATTTATAATTATTCTAGCTAAAATTCAATGTTTTTTTTTTTAATTTATTTCCAAGGTAGTTTGGAATGTGAATTTTGTCAGAGATCTTTTCGAACTTTTTTTTTTATCTGTAAATTTGGTACTGTGTGTTTCACTCAACTTATTGATACAACTCTTGACAAGTACTGGGAGATGGCACAATACTGCAGGTAGCACTTATATTCAGGCAGAAACTGGGCCACTTATCATCACTTAATAAACCTGGCTGTTCACACTTCTGTGAATCCACATCACAGATCTCTTATTCAGGCCACACTTTGCCATCTTATGCACAAGGATAGAATAGAATGCTGAATCAAATTTTTCTTGAAACAACATAATACTTACATCATTCCTTTGTGGCACCAAGCATCTACATGTATGAAGGACTTGGATGTGGTTTGATGTGATTGTGTTTCATGAATCTTTGTTGCATTCTTATCAATGACTGGAAGAAATAATGGCTGTCTATGAAGCTTTGAAGGTTAACTTAGATGGAATAGTCTGTGGCCACACAGCAGGAGGTCAGCAGCAGGCAAGTGAGCAAAGTTTCATCTGTATTTTTAGCCGCTCCCCGTAGCTCTCATTACTGCCTGAGCCCCACCTCCTTTCAGATCCGTGGCAGCACTAGATTCTCATAGAAGTGTGAACTGTACTGTGAACTGTGCATGGGAGGGATCTAGGTTGTGCACTCCTTATGAGAATCTAATGCCTGATCATCTGCAACTGTCTCCCATCACTCCCAGATAGGACTATCTAGTTGCAGGAAAACAAGCACAGGGCTCCCACTGATTCTACATTATGGTGAGTTGTATAATTATTTCATTATATGTTACAATTTAAAAATAATACAAATGAAGTGCACAATAAATCCAATGCACTTAACTCATTTCAAAACCATCTCCCCAACCCCAGTCCGTGGAAAAAAGTGGCTTCCACAAAACCATTCCCTGGTGCCGAAAAGGTTGGGGGCAACTGCAATACATAATACTTGATAATGACAAAAAATTAATATGTTACTGGTTTATGTATTTACTATACTATACTTGTTATTAAACAAAAAGAAAGTTACCTGTAAAATAACCACAGGCAAGTTCTTCAGGAAGAATTCCAGAAGAAGGCATTGTTATCGTAGAAGATAACAGCTCCGTGCGTGCTTGCCCCTGAAGACCTTCCAGCAGGACAAGATGTTGAGGTAGAAGACAGGGATATGGATGATACTGATGAACCTGACCCTGTGGAGGCCTAGGCTAATGTGTGTGTTTGTGTCTTAGTTTTTAACAAAAAAGTTTAAAAAGTGAAAAATGTTAAAAATAGAAAAAAGCATATAGAATGAGGTACAAGGAAAGAAAATATTTTTGTACATCTATACAATGCAGTAGTGTTTTAATCTCGTATTTATTACAAAAGAGTCAAAACGTGAAAAAAAACTTAAAACTTTAAGTACAAAAGCTACAGTAGGCTAAGGTCAATTAATTATTAAAGAAAAAAGAACTTTTAATAAATTTAGTGAAGCCTAAGTGTATGGTGTTTATAAAGTCCGCAGTAGTACAAAGTAATATTTTAGGCCTTTATATTCACTCGTCTCACACTGAATGACTCATCCAGAGCAACTCCTGTCCTGCCAGCTCCATTCATGGTGAGGGACAGATACAGGTGTACCATTTTTTGTCTTTTATACCATACTTTTATGGCATCTTTTCTGTTTAGATACACAAATATGTACCATGTGTCACAATTGCCTACAATATTCAGTATAGTAACATGCTGTACAGGTTTGTAGCTTAGGAGCAATAGGCTGTACCATATAGCCTAGGTGTGTAGTAGGCTGCACCATCTAGGTTGGTGGAAGCACACTCTATGATGTTCACACAACTAAAAAATCACCTAATGATGCAGTTATAAAAAAACCCTGTCATGAAGCAATGTATGACTATATAAATACACAGACTTAAAAAATATAATATTAGATAACATTTCTAATATAATGTATAAAATATATAGGATATATAGGACATGATTATAATATAATAATTCACCTCAGCCTCCAGTGATTTCCAACCATAGGAACCACAGCCACAGACAAAAGACAGGAAAAAAAGAATATGTTTTCATGTCTAAAACAGGGAATTGAGAAGTATTTCCCTATCAAAAATTGGCATACAGTGGTCAGATATATTCAGAATGGTTCGGCTAACACAATATTTTTAAAACATAATAAGTTAAAAGACCCTTCAGAGCTGATCAGGGAGTTTCACCACAATTCATAGCACTATTTCAAAGAGAAAATGAGTTCTAAAATCCCAATAATAGATTTTCCAAAATAACTCTTTCATACACAATTCAATTACAGGTTTAAATTGCCTGAAGTGTAGTCTCAGTTTCACAAAAATCCAAATATATATGTAGGTGTGTATTTTGAATACCTGTCTGTTTTATATAAATTTCTGTAAAATATAGGTGTGAGTGAACTTTTTACATTTATGAATGTATATAAATGTTGGCAAACATAAGCAGTTACAATTCAAAGACATTAAGATTAATATTTTAACTAAGATTACATATTTTGATTGTATTTTCAATCTTATCTGTAATATGAAATCAAATTAGATTTTTAAAAATTATATCATTCATGAAGATAAAAGATAATTTATCACTTTACATCAGGATATCATAACCATTGTTTTCAAAATATAGAATTTATAAAAATAATTTTGTATATGCCACACATTTTAAAGGTTCCCTAAAAAGTAAAATAAAGATAAATTCTAGGGCTACAAGTAGGTACAAACTTCTAAAAGTCCATTCAAATTCACACTAATTTGTCTTTAGATGAGAGTAAGAAATATGTTATGTCTCTATCATGTACAAAATACGACTGAATAAGTTCTGATATCTTAATTAACAAAATATACTGAGTATAAGTAGCTTAAATATATTAGTTTTTCATTCCATTGAGGAAATCTTCAAATGTAACATTTAAAAAATAGTTTTGCTTCTCCTATAATTATTAATAACATTTTTTATTGAATGTTTCTGTGTGCCTGACCTTATATAATGCTGAACATACTTTTTTCTTAATTATGACAAAACTAGAAGTAACCATCATCATTCTCATTTTATAGATGAGAAATTGTGGCTCAGAGAGATAAAAAAAATATTTTCCATCTGGAAGAATTCGGGTGTGGATTTAATCCTGGCTCTCTTGTTCCAAACATTTTGTGCTTAACCACCATATTTTTACCTTTCAAAAATCATGGTTGGTCAGAGAGAAAACATTTCACTCTCGTGATTATGAAAATTATTTGATTGTTACCATGACATGGAGCTATATTATTAGAAACAGTGTTTGCCAATTTAGCACAAAGCACTAAGGAGGTAATAGGGCCAAGAGTCATTTTACAGATACAAGTTACAGTCACTTAATGATTAAATCCATAGAGGATAATTGTCTTTGTCAATTTTCTTAGCCAATGACAGTTGTTCTTTTGCTTATTTCTATTTTTCTAACCCCTCTGACAGGCGCTTGCCCATCACTAAGTCTTATTAGGTGCACTAGTGGCATTTCAGTTTTTCAAGACTTTTCAAGTCTCCTGGATTCTATGCATGACATATGGTTTCAGTAGGGAACTACTGATTGCATGGTGAAGCCTCTTATTTCTTCCACCTTTCACTGCTCCATTCACAGCTTGCTGGCAGCTGAGCTGCGAATAGGATTTTAAGGTTCAGCATGAGATCCAGGAGCCCTGAAACAACAACAATAATAAAAGTAGGCTCTGGTTTGTGCTGGAGGCAAGTTCTGCTTTCTGTATTCAGAACTTTTTGAAAGGGAGCACTGCAAGTCAAAGAGACAGGAAATGAAAATGCTACCCAGACCCCTGGTTTCCAAAAGGAAAACTCTTGCTCCTTTGAAATTGAATTTTTTTTTTCTAGGTACTGATGTAAGCAAACTACAATACAGCCTTATTTCCTTTTCTGTGATGTGAAATGCCACAATCCCAGCCAAAGTTTTAAGAAATGCCATGACACACATAAAAACAGTCAATTATGTTGCTGAAGTAATCCAGGCACATTTTTCTCTCCAAAAACACTCTGTTATATTTTACATGAAGAATTACTACAAATACATGTGTCAAAAATTCCTCCCCAGTGTGAACCCTGGGTCTTATGACATCGGTAGATTAACACTTGTAAGCTTCAGTTCTAATTGGAATAAAATCAAATGTCTGCCTTTAAAAAATATATTTCAAGGAAATCAGTGTACTTTTAACAACAAAGGCAGAATTCTTTATTGTTACACAGACATGAGATGGTTTATTTAGGTCTCTGTTTAGGTTGGCTACATGAGGCGATCTTACTCATTTGTTTAAGAAACAACACTGACACTTAGAAATGACTCAAAACAATCAAAAGCAGTAAGTTCTTGATGATTGAGTCTTCAGCTAAATTAGAAACAATTTCTGACTCAGAAATGTGTATTATATAATTTTGAGAAGGAGACTAGGGCCAGGCAACAAGCAATTTATTAGCAATGAGTAGTAGAGATGGAAGAAGCAGCATGAATAAGTGAAAAGGCCCAGAGAGTTACAGCACATGAGGTCACATTATGGCATTGCTACTTAGAAGCTGTTTGATATGAGACATGATTCTTAAATTTTCCAAAACATGGTTTCCTCATCCATAAAATAGGGCTTAAGTTTCCCTATCTCATCTTGGGAGATAATTCTCCACAGGTCTCTCATATTTCTGCGCATCTTTTGAGCAAAAGCACTGGCAGCTTTCGTTCTGGATTATCTTTTTAAGAATGTTTGTATAGCAAACAGCATTGGAAGTTAAAAAATACTGTCTTTCTCTGGGGCAGAAGGAAGATTTGTTTGCTGCTCAGGATAATAAAGATGTCTCCCTCTGGGGCAAAGGTTGGACAGGTTTACCAGAAGCTTCCTTATAAAAGTTTGTTGTTTCTTAAACTTGAGGTTCTTCTGTAATAAAACCCACTGAGTGTGCAGATGTCACCTAGCCCTTGTTGCACTGCCCTTTGGGAACGGGGGCTCAAGGAGCTGGCACAAATGATGTTACTCTGGCAACTGCAATTGCTTTGACTAATGCACTGTCTTTTGTCTCTGAGCCAAAAGTCTCATGTTTACGGCCAGTATGCATGAAACTGTAAAAGTCTAACTTATTAGCTTGCAAGTGGAGCAAGATCTCAGACTCTTCACAGTTCTTGACGTTCATAGAGTTTATGTTAAAATTAAAAATTAAATTGTATGTAAAGATTTAATGAAGTCTTTTACAACATACAAATTGGTCAATTGTTTTGGTGTATATTATCACTATCAATATGGTGATAATAGTGATGTCTACTTTAAATAGCTTCTTCTTATGGGAAACAAATGAAATAACATACATGAACAATTGATCACATCAGAAATGTTATAGAAAAACAGATTGAGTTGTATATTTAAATCAATAACTATTTATTAAACATTTCTGATATAAGTTACCATATAAAGGCAATGTAAGAAATACAAAAAGTATTTTAAAGTTTCCTGCTCTTACAGATTCCATATTCTAGTTTGAGAGATGAGACCCAAATCTATAGAAAATGAAGCAAGAATTTAAAATTAGACCTACAATCAAGAGGAGAGTTGATGTCAAAAAACAAATTTGTAATTCACCAAATTTGTTATACATAATAAATATTTTGGACTTTAGACAAAAGAGAAATTGTATTCTTGCCACTTACAAAATGCTTTTTCATGGCAGATTTTTGTATACATTAGGAATTTTACTTACTGCCATAATCATTACCTTGGTCATGGATTTTGAAAAAGCTATGGTACTTGACTCCAGAGTCTTACAAAGCCTAGGGAAGTGCCTAAAATTACTGTCTTCTTGATGCTGATTTATGAAGCAAATCAAATCTTTTCTCTCAGGAAGTTTTATTGTGATATATGCAGAGTCCATTGATAAAAGACGTACAAGATAGAAAAGATGCATAAAGAGAGAAATAAACAAATACAGTGAGTCAGAAGATCCAAGAATTACGTGAACGACATTGAGAAAAAAAGTCAAAAAGGGAAGAAGCAAAGGCAGGACACTGGTGGGCACTAACATGAAGACACCCACTTCTCAGGAGACAAACCAACAGAGCCAGGGCTTTGTTATCTGAGCTTCTCCCAGGCTGGGAGTTGCTGCTGTTGCATTCTGAAAATCTCAGTTATCAATGAATTCTGGTTCTGAATCTGCAGGGATTTCTTTCTGGCTTCTTCACTTGTTTCATAAAGCCCTTATAGAGCCATCATTAATTAAAATAGTCTGAATTACCAGTTTGTAGCAATCTAAAGTCTAACACATTAAGTACCAGGAATAGCAAAGTTCTCAAAAAGACTTCCTGGGCAGGACATTTACATAAGCCCTGCATGTAAGCCATAGGTATATGTTATGCAGGGCTTATGTACACAGAAGGCAATGAGGAGACCCACTCATCTGGAGCAGAGCTTTGGGGTTGAGTAAGAGAGACAATTCTGTGCCAAATAATGAAGAACCTAAAGAGCAAGCCTTGAAATTCTGAATACTATTCAATCTGTAATGAGGACTGAGAGATATATTCTGTTTGTTTGTTATGCAGGAAAATAAATGACAAGATCAAAGACTGTTTTGTCAGTAAAAATGATGGGCCAGGTATGGTGGCTCACACCTGTGATTCAACAATTTGGGAGGCTGAAGTGAGCAGATGGCTAGAGCCTAGGAGTTCGAGACCAGCCCAGGCAACATGGCAAAATCCCATCTCTACAAGAGATACAAAAATTAGCTGGGCATGGTGATGCATGTCTCTGGTCCCAGCTACTTGAGAGGCTGAGGCATGAGAATTGCTTGAACCTGGGAGGCGGAGGTTACAGTGTGCTGAGATCGTGCCACTGCACTCTAGCCTAAGCAGCAGAGTGAGAATGTGTCTCAAAATTAAAATAACATAAACAAAATAAAAATAATTTGTAAAAAAGAATGATAGGAGTACTAACTCTATGCAGGTTTACGAGCAAAAGTGTTGATGCTAACAAGCTATCCTGAATCCTGAAAGGCAGGCATGCAGCCCAGATCCACTACTAAAAATGTTGTCTTAGAAGGTTTCTTTCATTTCTGCTTTCTCTTCTCCTAAGTTTTAGATCTATCTGTGTTTCCCCTCCTCTGCATACTCACCCTTTCATACACACTCCTCATCTCCTCCCACCCTTAAATGTATACATTAAGGGCACTTTCAACTTGGTTTCCTAGTGTTCCTTTATATAATGTTGAAAAAATTGTATTTCCTTCTTTTAGACACAGTTAGATTGAGTTGCTTTTGCTTTTTAATTTTATGTGTCCTTTGATCCAAGCTTCTGCTGTAAAATGTCACTGGCTCCCCCAGGTTTACCAAGGCATTCTTTAATTTCCAAAGAGAACCTACATGCTTCTATCATTACTTTGCTTTACTAATAACTTTCCCATCTGTCTTGCCTGCTAATCTATAAACTGTTTTAAGTTAAAATTGTTTTTTAATCACCTATATGTTTCCAGAGGCTGGCACAGTGCCTGTCACATTATAGGCACTAAATAATTTTGGTATAAATGACTTAAATCTTTCACCTCTAGTTTAGCATAAAATTTAAGATATTCACATGTAATAGTCTATAAAATGCTAACACATTTGCCAGAATCAATAATCATCGTCATTTTTGTTTCTCTTATATTAAATGAAATTGCACTGGCTAGTATTGTTTCTTCTTGATTTATATCTTCCCACATGTCATTGTCTCACAGCAGCTGGAGCAGCACAAGAGATTTATGTCTTTTCCAAAGGCATAAAATTAATCTGATTTTTAATTATTTTTCCCAATAGCATATAAGCTTCAATTTAGTTTCCACTTAGAATCAATATTGACTTAAGTTACCTTAGTAGTTTCACCATTTTAAAAAGAAGCCATGTCACAGCCAGCCTCATAAAATTATGGCCTAGTTCTCATTAATATTAATCAAAAGCATTAAACTTAATTTTTCTCTTTAAGTTTAGGAAGGTATAAAAATAGGCAGGGAAAAAAAAAATACTTCTTCCCTGAATGAAATTAGGATCACTAACTGGTGGTTAGCATGTTCTACATGTCAATTGGAATGCACTTTCTATTCTACTACTAATAAACCGTTTCCATGGGTACTCAATCTTATCATTAATCCTCAAGTGTAGTTGTATGCCTTATGTAAACTTCGGGGAGGGTTAGAGTGGCTTCAGCACAGAAATAAGGACACCTTGCCATCTTTTTATATGAAAAACCAGCCTGACCTTCACTGTTCAACTAGGTATTTAGAAGATATAGAAGCATAAGATCTACCATAAGGTGAATAAGCCAATTACTGGGGACACACATAGCAAACCTGAAGCATTCATGCTCCCATTTCTTTGTTCTGCATCTATGAGCAACAAACTCCTCTTTCCTGGATTCAGCACAGAACCCTACACAAACAATAACTCCAGGCACTATGACTAGTCACCACAATTAGATCAGGTGTATAAACATCTTTGCATATTTGCCCTACAACATCACATGTGCAAAACCTCACCCAACAAAGATTAAATCTCTCCCACTTTAAATCAAGGCTCTAGGACACTCTACCATTGGACTTGAATATGTCTCTCATTTCCTCATACGGTGGTGTATTATGTAAATCACTATATTGCCTTGATTTTAAAACACATGTTCAGATTTTGACATTTCTGAAATTAAGATATATGCATATAATGTGATAGTACCTTTTGTTTAACATTATTTTGTATTCTGAATTTGTTTTGTTTAATGTGATATGATTTCACCTAAAAATTTCTTATTAAAATGATGATTGTTTACATAATAGAACAATATGATAACATTTATAATTTTTATCTTTTTTGGGAATAGATAATGTGCTATAATATTTTTTCGGAAGTATATTTTAAATTACATAGTACCTGACATTAACTTAAAAGAAAATAAACTTTATTATAATCAACCATTCAGATTTCAGTAGCCCTGTTAGGGTTTATAATTTTGGGTGCCTCTAACAGACATTATAGCTTAGCTAGTAAGCTATTGTAGAAATTCATATGGCATAGCTCTGACAACAGAGATCAAAAGCAAAGATATGTAGATTACAGTTTAACTTAAAATATTATCTATATCACTGAAAATAATATAAAAATAAGAGTGTATGTGTCAAAAATGAAACATATAAAATAGGTTTAGAAAATGACAAAGGTAGGCAACTTTGGAAGAATATAACTTGTCTCATTATTATGTGTGCCTAAGACCCTGCCAGAGGGAGATGTAATCATGTTTAGTGAATATATTGACCTTTTCTTCCTTTATCAATAGTTATGAAGAAATATACCTATATGTATCACTCTCCTGAATAAAATATGTGTATTCTTGATAGTGTTCAAAATAAACTACATCTCTTCTTTGAGTAATTTTGTTTTATTTGTAGAGATAGAAAAGTTTTTTTATTGTTTCCCTCAAAAAAGCTTATAATAAAATTAAACTGGATAATTTATAGAAAGGGAGAAAGCCATGTAGCCATAGTGTATCCTCTAGTTACAAAGAATAATTTCAATAATGCATTCAAAACATATAAGAAATTATTTAGTCTAGATTATTCTTTGAAACCTTCCTACAACAAAACACCTAGAAATTCTAAGTAAAGCATTGAAATATACTGTTGCAAATGTGTACTTATGCTCACAAAACAGGAAGAACACTACCCAGGAACCAAAAATATAAATCACAACAGCAGAGTGATAAGGAAATTCCAATTCACAGTGACCGTGGGTGCTTGCAGAGACGTAGGTGTCATAACTTCTCGGGGTAGGAGGAGAACCCTTGGTGATGGTAACTTGGGGAGTTGTGACAGAGAGTTGTGCATAAAACCAGGTTCCTTAAAGAATATACCTTTAGGAAAAGAGAATATTGGATACAATATCACTGCTGTGGTTTTAATGTGTTCCCCAAAAAGCATGTGTTGGAAACTTAATCCTCAATGCAACAGTGTGGGGAAGTGGGACCTAATGAGAGGTGATTAGGTAATACGGGCAGAGTGAAGAGATTAATGCTGCTATCATGTGAGGGGATTAATTATTGTGGGAGTAGGTTTGTTATAAAAGAGGGAATTTGGGCTTTTTACTCTCTCTTTCTCACCCTGTCTTACCGTCTGCTTTCCACCATGGGATGACAAAGCAAGAAGGTCCTTATCAGAGGCTGGCAACTTGATCTTGGACTTCCCAGCCTATAAAACCATGAAGAAATAAATTTCTGTTCTTTATAAATTATCCAATTTCACATATTCTGTTACAGCAATGAAAACTGGACTAAGACAGAAAATTGATGTCAGAGAAACAGAACGTTGCTATAACAAATACCTGAAAATGTGGAAACAGCTTTGGAACTAAGTAATGGACAGAGGCTGGAAGAGTTCAGAGGAGCAGGATAGAAAAAACCCTGTATTGCCATGAATGGAGCATTAAGGGCAATTCTGGTGAGGGCTCAGAAGAAAAGAAAAACTGTAAAAAAATATGAAATTCTTAGCAATTACTAATGGATTCATGATAAGAATTTGTGAAGAAATATGAATTATAAAGACAATTTTGTTGAGGTCTCAGACAGAAATGAGGAATATCGTGTTGGGGACTGGAGTAAAGGCCATCCTTTTTATAAAGAGGCAAAGAACAGGCTAAATTTCAGTCATACCCTAGGGATTTATGGAAGGCAGAATTTAAATGTGATGGACTAGTATATCTAGCAGAAGAAATTTCCAAACAAAATATAGAAGGATCTGCATGGCTTCTTTTAACTGCATACAGTAAAATGAGAAAGGAGAGAAAAGGGTTAAAGATAGAATTTATAATTAAAAATGTAGCAGAACATAAAAATTTAGAACATTCTCAGCCTGGCCATTAAATAATTAAAAAGTATGTTAGGGAGAAAATATCAAGAGTGTGGCCAAGGGACTGTTTGGTAAGATTAGTATGGCTAGAAGGAGGCCCGGTGATATTCATCAAGACAATAAGATAATGAACTTAAAGGCATTTCAGAGATCTTTCAGGCTGCCCCTACCATTACTCCGAATATTAGGACTTTGAGAGCAGAATAACCTTGCTGCCCAGGGCCACCTAGAGTCTCTGCTCCCCAAGTTCCAGTGCAGTGCCCGTCAGCCACCCCTGCCATGAATCGAGCAGGCCCGGATGAGGCTCAGACCACCACTCTGGAGGGTGCAAGTGGTAAGCCTTCGTAGCATCCACATAGTGCTAATTCTGCAGGCATGCAAAGTGCATGGGCTGTGCAGCCATTGTTGTCTCTATCTAGATTTTAAAGGCTGTGTCAGACAAACTAGGGGCCCAGGCAGAAAACTGCCACAGGGGAAGAGTCACTCCAGAGTTCCCACTGTGGCAGTAACCAGTGGTGCCACAGAAATGGGGCTGCCACCAAGACCCCAGAACTATAGAAACACCAGTGTGCAGCCCCAGTCTGGGAGAACTGCAGGTAGTGGATTTCAACATGTGATAGCTACTCCTGAGCAATTACTTAAGGCTGAGCCCAGAAAAGCCATAAGGGCAGGGCTACCTGAGGCACTGGGGCCCAATCTCTACCACAGAGTGTCTGGGAGGCAACACATAGAGTGAAAGATTATTCTGGATTTAATAATTTTAATGTTGTCATCCCTATTAAGTTTTGGACTTACTTGGGGCTTGTTCCTCCTTTCTTCTTGCCTATTTCTCCTTTTTGGAATAAGAATATTTATCCTATGCCTGCCTCACCATTGTACTTTGGAAGCACATAATGTATTTTGATTTCACAGGCTCACAGCTGGAGGGGAATTTGCCTAAGGATAAATCGTGCCTTAAGTCTTGCCCATATCTGATTTAGATAAGACCCTAGACTTTGAACTTTTTAATTCGTGCTGGAATCAGTTAAGACTTTGAGGCTACTGCGATGAAATAAATGTATTTTACATGGGTGAAGAGCATGAATTTGGGGGGCCAGAGGTAGAATGTTGTGGTTTGAACATGTCCCCGAAAAAGCATGTGTTGGAAACTTAATCGTCTGTGCAACACTGTTGGGAGGTTGGGCCTAATGAAAAGTCATTAGGCAATGAATGTAGAGTGAATGGATTAAGGCCATTATCACAAGTATGAGTTTATTATCTCAGTTGTGGGTTGATTATAAAAGGGGGAGTTCACCTTGTTTTACTTTCTCTCTCTCTCTCACGCTCTCTTTTCCTTCTACCTTCCACCATGAGCTGGCACAGCAAGAAGGTCGTCATTAGATGCTGGCACCTTGATCTTGAACTACCCAGCCTCCAGAACTGTGAGAAATAAATTTGTTCTTTATAACTAACCCAGTCTCATGTATTCTGCTATAGCAGCACAAAATAGACTAAGACAACTAATCATGAGCAAAGGGAGGTTTTCTTTTGGAGGGGGGGTTGTTTTTGTTGTTGTTGTTGTTGTTTTGTTTAATCTGAGAAAACTTCCTATAAAAATTTATTACCCTAGGCTTGCTTTCACACAGATGCTAGCTTCTTATATATTCTACCTAAATGTTCATCTTAGCTAGCTTAAGAGGAATTAAGTTTAATTAAATTGACCCTAGATTGCTGGAATTTTTGTGTACCTGGCAGAAAGAAACTAAAATTATTGGAAAGATACTTCCTCAAATCGAGTTTTAGTATTCCCAAAGATAAACTCAGCCAAACCTGAGTTCACATTCCAAAACTTAAAAATATTTAAGAAAAGAAGAGCTAGAAAAAACAGTTGAATAAAAGAAGAATTCCACTCCCCATGAATGCAAATAACACAATTACTGGATCTTGAACAGAAAATCATATGTTTAATATGTTCAATTAAAAATATATATATATATTAAAGAGCAAGTGTATTAGCCCATTCTCACACTGCTATAAAGAACTGCCCAAGACTGGGTAATTTATAAAGAAAGAGGATTAATTGACTCACAGTTCTGCATGGCTGGAGAGGTCTCGGGAAACTTATAATCATGGCAGAAGGGGAAGCAAACAAATCCTTCTTTACATGGTGGTAGGAAGGAGAAGTGCATAGCAAAGCTGGGGAAGCCCCTTATAAAAACATCAGATCTCGTGAGAACTCACTATCATGAGAACAGCATGGACATAACTGCCCCCCGTGATTCAATAATTTTATGGTTTCTCAGTGCATATGAAAGTTGTTTTATGCTATACTGAAGTCTATTCAATGTGCAATAGCATTATGCCTAAAAAACAATGTACCTCCCTTAATTACAGAGTACTCTTGGCTAAAAAAAAAATTAACAATTATCTGTGCCTTCAGCACAGTAGAAGGTCTATAGAAGGTCTTGCCTCCTTGTTAATCGCTGCTGACTGATAAGGGTGGTTGTTGCTCAAGGTTGGACAAGCTGTAGCAACTTATTTTTCTTTTAATTTTCAGCTTTTATTTTAGTTATGGGGGTATATGCAATTTCTCAAAATGAGACAACACTGAAGTTTGCCCTATCAATTGACTCTTCCTTTTATAGAGATTTCTCTGTAGCATGCAATACTGTTTGATAGATTTTACCCACAATAGAATGTCTTTAAAAATTGGAGTCAATTCTCTCAAACCCTGCCTCTGTTTTATGAACCAAATTAATAATATTCTAAATCCTTTGATATTTCAACAATGTTCACAGTGTCTTCACCAGGAGTAGATTTCATCTCAAGAAGCCACTTTCTTTGCTCATCCATAAGAAGTAACTCCCCATATATTCAGGTTTTACCATCAGATTACAGCAATTTAGTTATATCTTTGGGTTCCACTTCTAATTGTAGTTAATTTTCTATTTCCATCACATCTTTTTATTTAAAATGAGAGGTGTGTAACTTGTCCTTTCATTTGAACCTTTAGAGGCCATTGTAAGGTAATTATCTGGCCTAATTTCAATATTTTTGTGTCTCAGGGAATAAAGAGGCCCAAAGAGAGTGAGAAAGATGGGCAACAGTCAGTCGTGAAGCAGTCAGCACACATACAACCTTTATCAATTAAGTTTGTTGTCTCACACAGGCACAGTTCATGGTCCTCCAAACCAATTACAATAGTAACATCAGAGGTCACTGACCACATCTCATCATAGCAGATACAATAATACTGAAAAAATTTGAAATACTGCAAAAATTTCCAAAATGTGATACAGACATGAAGTGAGCCTGTAGTGTTAGAAAAGTGTTGGCAAAAGACTTGCTTGATGCAGAGTTGCCAGAAAACTTCAATCTATAAAAACATGCTGTATGTATGCAGCACAATAAAGCAAAGCACATTAAAAAAAGATATGCCTCTAAATAACTAAAATAAAATTTTTTAAGTTACATAATGAGACCAGTCATACTATAGAAAACAGTCAAAGACAAAGAGTCCAAAGTTTCCAAAAAGAAATAAATAAAGATTCCTTCAAAGACAATGAAAACTGTTTTCAATGTATTGAGAGAAAATAACCATCAACTATCTTTCATCATCATTAAAAGTTCAGTGCTAAATACCTAGAATTTCAAACAAAACATTGAGATTTTTATCATCAACATATCATTCATTAGAGATGTATTCAGGGTTTTTTGTTTGTTTATGAGTTTTGTTTTAGTTTTTAAGGGTTTTTGTTGTTGTTTTTGTTGTTGTTGTTGTTCGAGACAAGCTCTCACTGTGTCACCCAGGCTGGGGTGCAGTGGTGCATTCACAGCTCACTATAACCTCCGTCTCTTGGGCTCAATCAATCCTCCCACCTCAGCCTCTCACGTAGCTGGGACTACAGTCATGCAACCCCACACTCAGCTTATTTTTGCATTTTTCTTTTTTCTGTAGAGACAGGGTTTCACCATTGTTGCCCAGGCTGCTTTTAAACTCCTGAACTCAAGCAATCCACCTGCCTTCGCCCCGCAAAATGCTAGGATTATAGTCATGAGCCACTGCGCCCAGTCAATGAAAGATGTATTTTAAGATGGAAAATAATTGTGGAAGGAATGTCTTAGAGTAAAAAGTTATGTTAAGCAAATAAATTAGACTATCAAAACAAGCATTGACAATATCTAAATGATAATATTTAATTTTGCAATGTTAAAACACAGACAAAACTACTATATTAGACAACCATATAAAATGAAGACAATACTTAATCAGAGAGAAGATCTTTTATGTCTTTGGATTGTTCAGAAGGAAGGTCCAATTATTGTTTTACCTTAGGCATGATTAAATTAAAATGTGTATATTAATGTTTTAGGGTAATTAACTTAGGAAAGTGGTGTGTATAATTTCTACATTGGTACATAAAAAATAGAATTAAAAAATCAATCCATAAAGAAGAAGAACAGGAGAAATACAAAAGAAGCATAGAAAAATAAGGACAAGTAGAAAGTATAAAATACTATAGTAGAAGTGAATTCACACATATGAGTAAAAGCAATAAATATAAGTTTTTAAAAGAGAGACATCTAAGAAAAAATGAATATATTATGTTTGAAAGTAAATCTTGAAAATAGATCTAAAAAGGAACCCCCAAAGTATGCTTAATTCTTTTAGAAAGCATTTAAAGTAATTATTAATTTCAAAGATTAATACGTAATGATAAAATCTGAATCCATAGATAAATAAACATCATAATATGGATGTATTAATAACATAACTGAAAAATGTATAAGTAAAAAATTGGCATAATTACAAGAGGAAATAGGAAAATCACAACATAGAATATTTTAAAATTCAAATCCACCAGGTAATTGATAGGCTAAGCAAAACATAAATGTATAAGGCTATAGAAGATTTGAATCACACTGTTAGCAAACTTGATCTAGTGAATATATATGCAATCCTAAATCCAACAATTATACCATTTGTAAACATACATGGAGTATTTTTAAAACAAACATAGACCCTAGGTCTATGTTTTTCTGTATAATAGCTACTAGCCACATGTAGCTATTTAAATTTTGAATTAATTAAAGTTAAATAAAAGTAAAAATTCAGTACTTCAGTCATAGTCACATTTGAAGTACTCAATAACAACATGTGGCTACTATATTGGACAGTACAGAATATGACATCATTGAATACAGTTCTACTGTGTAACAGTGCACTAGGAAAAATTATAAAGATGTTTCTGCAATGTTACTCATACAGGTAATTATTACAAATTCAAAGAAATGATTTTCAACTTTGAAAGAGAAAATGTCCCTTTTTTTCTAACCCAATCTTTTTAAAAAAGGTATATCTGGTCTTAAAGTTATTTCAGGGGTTTGGCATACTGGAAAAAAAATAAATCAATGAGTAAACTAGAAATGAGGATTGCATTATACACGAAATCTAATAAAAAATGATCAAATGATTTTAAGTAAATTACAAAAGATTAGAAAGAAATGGTGAAGAGTCATACCTATTAACTAGTGCCCCTTAGAGAAGAAAAAGTATGATTGACAAGTTTATTGCAGCACTATTCACAACAGCCAAGATATGGAATCAACCTAAGTGTTCATCAATGCATGAGTGGACCAAGAAAATGTGATACATAGAGGCATAGTATTCAGCCATAAAAAAGAATTAACCTGTGCCATTTGCAATAACGTAGATGGAACTAGAGGCCATTTTGTTAAGTGAAACTTAACATCAAGTACAAGTACTCAGCATCTTGTACTTTTTCTGCACATTAAAAAAGTAAAACAAAACATTTGCAACATGCATTAAAAACACTGTTTTTAGAGTATTTATGAATACCACTTACAATATTCAAATATTCCTCATGTCCAGAGTTTCCCTAAATGCTGTGACCTGCTTCTGTATCTTCACGTTTTTTTTTTTGTTGTTGTTTGTTTGTTTTTGTTTGAGACGGAGTCTCACTCTGTCGCCTAGGCTGGAGTGCAGTGTCGTGATCTTGGCTCACTGCAACCTCCGCCTCCTGGGTTGATGCCCTTCTCCTGCCTCAGCCTCCCAAGTAGCTAGAACTACAGGCACCCGCCACCATGCCCAACTAATTTTTTGTATTTTTAGTAGAGACGGGATTTCATCATGTTAGCCAGGATGATCTCGATCTCCTGACCTCGTGATCTGCCCTCCTTGGCCTCCCAAAGTGCTGGGATTACAGGCATGAGCCACCGCGCCGGGCCGTATCTTCACTTTTTATAGCCATTAATTGCTCCAGAATTACCTTTGTATTTTTAGCCAGTTCCCTGAAATCTATTCATCTAGCATTGATATCATGAGCCTTAGCCTTCAACGCTGTGCTTGATTCTATAAAATTCCTGTTTCAAATTTCCATAAAGCTCTTAGAAAAAGAGATGGTGTTGCATAACTGCTGCAACTGGGTTCATATCAAGTATCGTTGAGTATAAATAATAAACTAAGTATAGAATTTTATTTTTTTTTTAGATGGAATCTAACCCTGTCCCCCAGGCTGAACTGTAGTGGCACAATCTCAGCTCACTGCAACCTCCGCCTCCCAGGTTCAAGCGATTCTCCTGCCTCAGCCTCCTGAGTAGCTGGGATTACAGGTGACTGCCACCACACTTGGGTAAGTTTTGTATTTTTAGTAGAGAAGGGGCTTCATTATGTTGGTCAGGCTGGTCTTGAACTCCTGACCTCAAGTGATCTGCCTGCCTTGGCCTCCCAAAGTCCTGGGATTACAGACTTGAGCCACCATGCCCGGCTGGCAGATAATTGTTTTTTAAATAATATACTTAGCCAGGTGTGGTTGCTCCCACCTGTAATCTAAGCACTTTGTGAGGCTAAGGTGGGAGGATTGCTTGAGCCCAGGAGATCCCGACCAGCCTGGGTGACACAGCGAGACTACCTCTACAAAAAAATTTAAAAATCAGCCAGGCTTGGGCCTATATTGCCAGCTACTCAAGAGGCTGAGGCAGGAGGATCCCTTGAGCCCAGGAGGTAGAGGCTGCAGTGAGCCATGACCACACCACTGCACTCCAGTCTGGGTGAAAGAGGGAGGCCCTGTTTCAAACAATAATAAACTTAATAATTAAAGTATGGTTGAGCCAGAGCAATACTGAGAACAATCTGTAGAATGCTCTTACATCACTAATCTAGGACGCAAACAGAATCTGATCTGTCTGAAAGATATTTTTCTCTCTAATAATGAAGCAACATTCAGTAAATGCTTGCTTATTCACTCAATATGTTTTGTGTGAATACAGTACATCAACATTTAAAGAACATTCCTTTCCAGAATTAGTGTGCAAAGGAATTCTTGCATTATAGAAGCATAACCTTAGTGACCTGGGGATATTTATTCACTTAGAAAATGAATTTACTACAGCAATAAATAGGTTCCAAATTATTCAATAAAAAGGAAACTATCTTCTCTAAATTTTTTATCAATATATACCCTTTGCTGATTCCTCATTATAATGCTGTCAATATTCAGAGGGAAAAGATCACAGAAAACAATTGCAGAACCTACAGCTTCAGGAGGATATTTACCATTTGAAAACACTGCATTGCTCATAGTAGATTGGTATGTTTCCCTCTAGTGGTTAAAAGGCACTTAACTGCATCAACTAAGTCACCTTTTGAGAAACAAAGCAGGAATTGAGAACGAGGCAGCATTTAGTGAGGCAAAAATTAACATGGTCTTAAATTAAATGATTTGCAAGTAGAATCAAGTGTGGTTATTATGGAGAAACTAATTCATAGTTTAAATACCTGATCAGTTTCCATGGGATGAACAAGGACAGAGAATATTTTAAACTCTGGCTGATGAGAGATGCTGATGATGAGTAAGGAAATGAAAATCAGAAGGGGAAACAATTAAAATACTTAGTAAAACCAATTCATTTTAATGTGGCACAAGATTAGTAATGAAGCAAGATTAGCCATTTTTAATACCATGTTGCATTACTTATTTTAAAATCCCTTATTATAATAATTTCATTTTTGAAAAATCCAAATTCATGTGCTGGCTTTATTTCAATGAAGACTGACTGCATTTCTCTTGTGACTCTGCAGTCTCAGGGCGGACAATGTTCTACTTCATAAGGAGGAAAGCAGTGACACTCTAATCACAGTAATCGTTTGTCAAAATACATCATCAGGCCTAAGACATTCCACTAAACTACTCAAGGTAGTTTATCCTAGACATTGGTTGCATTTAACTATTTAAAATGCCAGACAATTACATAAAAGACTCTATGTGCCTTCTAAAAACTATGTGCATGTTAGGATATTGACCATCAATTCCACAGCAAAATGCCACACCAGCTCCAAATAGGCACACTGGGGTTCCTTGAGCAATCAAACTTACTGAAATTAAGGGTCAAAAGATCAGCACTGTAACTTTAGGCAACCCAGGGGAAGACAACAATCTTCCACCTTTGTTGTATTCTGTGAACTGGCCATGATCACAGAATGTGAAAACCGGCTATCAGATCACAGGATCATTTCTCCGCCAGAAAGCACCTGCAGTTATTATGTACAAAAGAAACTCACAATGCCAGGCTTTCAGAAGCACATAAAGCTAGCTGTCCTCTCAATTTCTCATAGGGAAATATGTGCATTCTAGAGCAAAGAAAACATCTATGATAGAGACATGCACATATAAACCTTTCCCAACTCAACTGCTCAGAGTTTGGTTTACGCAATGAATTATTGAAGGAGTGTGAAAAAAAAAAAAAAGGTAAAAACAGAAGCTTGAAATTATCAGCTTATCACCCATAAAAAGGATATAGACCCTCAATGAGGAAGGCTGAATAAAAAGAAACAATTATTCTACAACTCCTCTTTGTGTTGAACAGGTAATAAACAATGTGGCCAATAAATTTATCTTACCCTTCTAAGGCAAACAAAAACAGATGGAAATAGAACTGCATGCAATTATTGATAATTTACTTCATATATTTATTCATTGTCCACAATGAGCTATAGAGAAAATATAAGGGAAATGGCTCCAGCCTTCTAGAAAATGAAATCAAAAGGAGAAATATATAAATTTGCTATTTTAATTTTTATTTTATTTATATTTAGTAGCAACTAAGCAAAGCTACAGAGATTGAGCAGAGGTTTCATGGTTTTTCAGAAAACTTGGAGATTACAAATTGTGAAACCCAAAATATGAAAATTCACAATATACATCTTCCATATTGTGGTCAACCAAAATATATTACACAGAAAATATGTTAATTACTGAGTCATGTCAGGACAAAGAAAGGATATACAGAACATGTTAATTAAGGCTCATGCAAAATATCATGTGTAAAAGCCTTCAACCAATAATAGAACACTTTAACAATCTGGGATTATTTTAGTCTTATTTTGATTTTTTTCTGACTTTCTGTTGAATTTAGAAAACAATTTATAAAGTCTGAAACATTCCTCAATCTCTTTGGCACAGATGAAGTTGCTAGGACAGGGATAATTTTTTGTCATGTGTTCTAATAATATCTATTGAACAAACTATTTTAGTGACCCAAAATATCATTTGGCCTTTCTTGTTGACATGATATCAAAATTGAAGCCTGTGTTTTAGCACACAGGATACCTAATTTAGTCATTGCAATTGCACATAATTTGATAGGTATATATAAACAGAAGCTATCACTGTGCATGTCACAATCAACCTAAGCGAAATCCTACACTAGGTTTGAAAAATAGAGCTTTTAATCTAGGAGGTCTGTCTTGATTGTACTATTGAGCCAAGCCAGGTCTAGAGCTTAAATTTTTTGACAAAGCCTTGTTAAAATGAAAAAAAAAAAAAAAAAAAAAAAAAGAAAGATCTTGGTAAAATGCTATCTCACTGGAAGGCAGAAGATGGGTGATGAGAAAGAAGGAATTTTTGGCTAAGGGAGTATGTAGATGAAAGAAATGAAAGACTAGCAAATGAAAAATGGAAAATGGGTGGCAGACCCAAAACACTTCATGAAAAGAAAAGACCAATTGTCAAGAACACATATTAGAGCTGTATCATATTTTTTTCTCCCACAGTATACTAATTTCATTTTCTGATTGATGTGGAAAGAACTTTTTCTCTCTTCACCTCCTATAAATTATTCTTTACTGAGTGCTGCCTTAAGAACAAACAAAGGCACACAAAGAAGCTGAAGCATTAGTATTTCCCAGGACGTACACAAGATCCTTAATAGAGGTAATGAATGCCCTGGCCAGGAGCCAGGATGACAAGCTCCAGCTACAGAGCAGTGAGTCAAGTTCAAAACAGCCACACAAATGCAGAGGCCAAACAATCATTTTTGCTAAACAGAAATTTTTATGCCTCCATAATCAATTAGCTGATTTTTCCCCCTGCTAAGTAACTATTTCCTGGACAACTCTCTGAGTGTTGGCATTGAAATGCTGTCTATCATACAGTGGAAAAGTGAGATTAAAGGTTTTGAGTGCCTGGGCATGACGCTGGAAAGAGAAAACAGAAGAGCCATCCTTCCTAATTGTAACAAGGTGCTGCTTTTTTCCTCTGCCTTTTTATGTTGAAATTGGAAGAACTGTTAAGAGTCAAAAAGATTTTCCAGCATGTCATATGAACCTCTTGTTTTTCCTCAACAATGATGAGACTGATTCTTGATAAGTGCCAGTAAATAGCATAATGACTATGAAAGTGAGAAAGCATTTACTGAATTGCCTTTATGACTTCTAGTGGAACTAAGTTTGTGGAGACTTGTACTGCTTAGTAGGATATCTACTTTAAAATACTACAAAATCTTCCCATCAATGTACTTTTCCTTGCATAACTTCTAAAGTGCTCCCTCTCCTTCTTCCTCCTTCTCCTTCTCCCTTCTTCTCCTTCTCCCTCTTCCTCTCCCTCTCTTATAAGGCAACACATGCAGAGAAGCAAAGTGTCACACAGACTAAATAGATGACCCACCAATGAACTGAACATCAGTGATGACAAGTCAGCACACTCATGCCTCATTTAGACTTTCACCACCAAAATGGAAGAATTCAAAAAAATTGGAAAAATTCTTTTGAAAATTTACAAAACTATATTTCTCACTTTTTACAGGATTTGCTTAAAATATTTACATTAGTTACCCTGTTTAATGATGTCATCCATCTCATGGACAATGCACACCTCAACTATTCTAAATGACCATTTAGAAAAATCCTTTTATATAGAGTTTTACTGATAGACCCTGAAACCTTCCCATGAATTTCTTCTAACATAAGTTTTGAAAGCCCTGTGTGTTTTACCTACAAATCCCATCCAGATGGTCCCTGACTTACAATTGTTTCACTTAAATTTTTTTTTACTTCAAGGTGATGTGAAGGCAATACACATTCAGTAGAAACCATATTTTAGTACAAATACAACCATTTTGTTTTTCACTTTCAGTACAGTATTAATAAATTACATAAGATATTCAGTACTTTATCATAAAATAGACTTCATGTGAGATGATTTTGCCCAAGTGTAGGCTAAGTGTAACCTAAGTGTAGTGCTGTTCCGAGCACGTTTAAGGTTAGGCTAGGCTATGACATTTGGTAGGTTAGATGTGTTAAGTGCATTTTAACCTTACAAAATTTTCAATGTAGGATGAGTTTGTTGGGATATAATCTCACTGTAAGTTGAGAAGCACCTGTACAAAGGTTTAATATTTTGCTACAAGTCTAAGAGAGCAGCACTGGGAGATGAAGAACTGTTACTAGAGGATCTAATCTAAGAGAGCAAACTTTAGAATGAATAAAAACAAAATGGCTATTTTCAATGAAAGGGATTAGTTTTACATTTTACCTGCCCCTACCCCTGTCTTCTTTCTGAATCACTGCCGAAGTATGGAAATTCCTAGTGATTTCCCATGCTTGGGTATAAAGCACGATGGACAGCCTACAGTTAGAGTTGAGTGGGTTTTCCAAACTGAGACGAGATCACAGGCTGATGTTAACTGGGAGGCAGAACAAGCATTAGCTTAGTTTGTGAAGAAAGGTGGCATTTTCATTAAAGAAAAGCTAACAGGAAAATTCCAGCTTCTTCTAACATTCTTCTAACATTCTACATAGGTAGTAACATTCCACAAAAGTCAAGAACACTGAACCCTAAAGTACTCTCTATCCATGCAGGAAAAGGAACAAAGCAGTAAGTGCCCTAAGAGAAGTGAATAGGTGTTGCTGCTATGGTTCCTGTAGATTTCTGAGTAACTATTTGCAATCTATATACTTAATATTGGCTTGCACATGTTATATATTTTCTGTGAATTAAGCCTCTTAGCATAACTTTCCAGCAAAACTGTATGTCCTGTAATTCACATATTTCCAAAGGTGCTGCAAAGTAGCAAGAGCTGAATATGCCACCCAGCAATATTCCAGGAAACTAATTAACTGAGGGAATTCATGAAGGATTGCATAGATTACTGTGCCTCAACAATAAAGTAATGAGACTGGCCCACAAGGCATACATAAAAATCACATCTATCTGGTGTGGATTGATTTATGCACACATTTTAGAAGATCTATGTAAATCCTACCTGGCTCAATTCTTTCCTTTCTGCAAAGCATACCCTACCAATACAACTGAACATCATATTTTTCTTCTCTTCACTTTTTTTACATGCCACTCACTTAAAACCTAGTTATCTTGTTATGTTTTTATGTATTAACCATTCAAAACTGCCTTTTTCATTAATATGAAAACCGTATTGGTTATTTATTGCTGCATAACAAATCACCCCAACATTTTGTAGCTTAAAACAACATTTATTATCTCATATAGTTTTTGAGGGTCAGGAGTGGCTTAGCTGGGTTGTTCTGACTCATGTGTTTCATGAGGTTTAAGTCAAAGTCTTGGTCACTTAAAGCCTTTACCTGGGCTGGATAATATAACTTTATTCTTTGTAGTGGGTTGAATGGCAACCTCCAAAAAGATATGTCTATGTACTAATCTTTGGAACCTGTAAATGTGACCTTATTTAGGAAACAGATCTTTGCAGATGTAATAACTACATTAAATATATTGTAGCACACTAAGCACACTCTTGTGACCCTTGTTAAGTCTTAGTTCCTCACTAGTTGTGGGCTGCAGTCCTCAATTTTTCACCATGTTAAGGCAGAGATGCTTCTCAGAACAAGGCAGCTGGCTTCACCCAGAGAAAGATGCCGAGAGAGAGGAGGGTGAGAGAGGGATAGAAAGAGAGAGAGAGGCCAAGATGGAAGCCATGGTGTCTTCAATAATCTAATCTTAGAAATCACAGTAGCATCACTTTAACCATAGTCTATTGGCCACACAGGCCATATGGGAAGGGATCGTACAACCATATGAACACAGAAGGCAGGGATCAGTGCAGTATATCTCATTGGCAGAGCATTTGACTACGGAAGACAGGGATCGTGGGAAACCCTCATAGGGATCAGCTACCACAAAAAGTGCACTTTATTTCTTTTCACCACAACCTCTTTCAGGTATTCTAACACGATGCCTTGCTTGAAATAAGGAATCAATAAGTATTTGTTAAATTGTCTATCATCCTCCATGTCCACCAGATATGCTGTTTATTCTTTTATTCTTCATCAACTATCACTGCTTTTAAGCACATTGATAGTATCAAAGTTACTCTTAGCCTATTAACATTTAGGGAAATAAACTAAAAATAAAATAATATGGATGCATTTTACCATAAAATATACATGTGGCTTTTAGTTAAATTATTCAATTATACTTTGTCTTTATTTCTGAATATTTATTCATACAAAAAAATGTTTATTACCGCTCACTGGTTTCCAGGGATACAAAACTAGTGAGTTTTGTAGAGAATCATGTGGAATCATAAACCTTGGAATACTTTTTTCTCTGTGACATTTAGCACAATTTAAAGATATAAAATTAATGATAGAAAATAGGTTTATAAACATAAATAGTATAAATATACTAATATTTCAAGGAAAAGTATGTTTCTAAAAACTTACTATAGTGTGATTTATACCAAAAAATCATGACAATTGGATGTAGAATTTGATATTATAGTATAACATTTAGATATGAGTTCTCATATGTATGATTGTAAGAGAAGGGAACAAAATGAGCATACAGTATCATGTACAACCTGGGTTAGGAGATACTGTTAGTAATTTACATACCCTCTAACTATTCACCTCATATTTCTTAAGAGGTCCCAAGCCTGTTCAGATTTCTATCTCTCCCCACGCAATTCAGAGCCACAATAATTATACTGATAAAATCTTTTTTGAGTGATTAGTTCAAAACATCATTTTTTAATATTCAACCTGAAAATTTCATGAACACAGTGACAAGGTCAGCCTTAAGAACAAACTGGAATGAAGTTAAATGTCCATTAACTTTATTCTTTTTAGTGGGTTGAATGGCAACCTCCTAAAAGATATGTCCATGTACTAATCTTTGGAACCTGTAAATGTGACCTTATTTAGGAAACAGATCTTTGCAGATGTAATAACTACATTAAATATATTGAGTTGAGTCCATCCTGAATTATTTGGTGGGTCCAAAACTCAATGATAAGTGTCTTTATAAGAGACACAGTGAGACACACAGAAAGAAAAAGAGAAGGCTGTATGAAGATGAAGGCAGAGATTGAGGTTATGAAGCCATGGAAACGAAGGAACTCCTGGAGCCACCAAGAAGCTAGAAAAGGCAAGGAGGAATGCTCCCCTAGAGTCTTCAGAAGAGAATACAGCTCTGTCAGAAAACAGAATGAAACCCTGTCACTGAATGGTGAGAGAACAAATTTCTACTGTTTTAAGCCACCTAGTTTGTGGTGATTTGTTACAGCAGCACCCCCCAGCCCCAGCCTAAATAGTCTCCCAACTCTAATTTACATGTTCTTTTTTGCAGCAGACTCAGCCTTTCCAAAGCCAGCACTAGCACCTGCACTAACGCTTCCCAGTGTGAACACCTGCACTAACTACCTTTCTAATGCCAATACATGCACTACTCAAATTCTCTCCTCACATCGGGGTAAGCCTGTTTAGTGAACTAATTCAAACAAGCAGTAAATGGATATAAATGCATGGACTGGTTCATTACCATGTGCTACGATTTGAATTTGTCCAGCAAAAGTTTATGTATTGAAAACTTGATACCCAATGCAACAGTGTTGGGATGTGGAGCTAATAAAGGGCTATTGAGTAATGAGGGCTCATGAAGGCTGATTGAGGTCATTATTGTGGAAAAGGATTAGTTATCATGAGAGTATGTTGTTATGAACCTAGTCCAGACCTTGGTGCCTCTATCTTACATGCAGTCTCTTGTCCTTCTGCCTTCCCTTATGGGAGGATACAACACAGAGGCCCTCACCAGATACCAGTTCCATGCTCTCGGACTTGTCAGCCTCCAGCGTGTGAGAAATAACTTTTTTCTTTATCAATTACCCAGTCTGCTATAGTAATAAAAAAACAGACTAAGATACCATGTTATCCTTTACAGAAAACATAAGTAGGACCTTTCCAAAGACTTTGTTTCATGGTGTTTATAGTCAGACTATTGAAGCAGGTCAGTGTTTAATAGAAATCCACTCTGACCACTTAATAATCTCCCCTTCCATGCATAGACTCCATTAGTAAACTGCAGAAGATGAATAAAAGCAAATATTTCAATAACAAAAAAATTGTCTGTGAAGACATCATGACAAGAGTAGAGAATGAGAAAAACAAGGTAGATACTGACTGGAAGCTTGCAGAATTGTGTTTTCCAGGCTGTAATTCAAAGAAAAATTGTTTCAGGAAATGCTCTCCAGGGAAAGCATTATCTGGTAAAATAAACTATTATGTAAAACTCTATTTTGGAGATAAACATGTATATAAACATGTGTTGTTTAAAAATAAAAGGAAAGACAGAGAGAAAAAGGAGGGGGAGAGAAGGGAAGGGGAAAAAAGAAGTGAGGGGAGAAAAGAATGAGAGAGAGAAAAAAGAGAATCTTAGTGATCATTCCAGTATACATACTACTCGTTGCTAATTTAGTTGGGGTTGTCACATCAAGGTAGAACTTTGGAGTAATACTGACAAACCTGTTTCAATCCACCTTCTTACTAGCCAAGTAATCTTCAGCAAATTACTTAGCAGTTTTAGCTTCTTGGTATGAAAGAATGGGGATACCTATTATGTTATCTTGTGTTTATTTGCTGTAATTCATGTAGAACATATGTACTTCTTACAAGCAATCTTTCCTGTAGTTATAGTTCTCAATAGTTTGAGATTATTATGGTTATTATGATCACCTGTAGCAGAGGCTCTAGTAGCCAACATCTCTGTTGCCATCAGTCTCAGCCATTGAAATGCAATTATCAGGAGACTTAAGATTTGAAGTCAAACCATAATTGATCCCAGTGGAGGTGACAAAATAGAGCTGTTAATTTAACAAAGGGAGACTCTACAAAACCTGAAATAATTTATCAGCATATCTAGAGGATACATTAAAACCTCAGATTTCAAGCACTGCGTTGAAAGCTTAGGAAAAGGAGAAGCATAAAGATCAGCTCAGCACTGATGTCTAGGAGGAAGAACCATAACCAAGATTCTCAAGTATTCTGGTGCCTGAGCAAAGACAAGAAGATTGTTGACATGACTATGGAATCATTGTCACACAACTTAATATGGTCCTTTTGACACAATAGTCCTGAGTGATAAATGTTTGAATTAAACTACCAAACTATCTTATCCTGGTACCATTAAACACTGAATTTATTTATTTAATTCCCTGTAATGAGTTGAATAGTGCTCCAACAAAATTCACATCTGCTTGGAACCTGCGATTGTGATCTTATGAGGAAATATGGTCTTTGTGTGGTCTTTGTAAATGTAAGCAAGTTAAGATGAAGTTATACTGAATTAGGGTGGGCCCTAACTCAGATGTGACTTGTGTCCCTATAAGAGGGAGTTTTGGACACAGAACCACATGGAGAGAACACCATGTAATGATGCAGGCAGAGATTAGAGTGATGCATCTACAAGCCATGGAATGTTAAGGATTGCCAGACATCAGAAGCCAAGAAGAGGCAAGAAAGAATCCCCTCTAGAGCCTTCAGAGAGAGCATGGCTTGACTACATCTTGATTTCAAACTTCTAGATTCTATAACTGTGAGAGAATAAATTTCACTTGTTTTATGCTATCAGATTTTTGGTAAGCTATTACGGCATTCCTGGGAAACTGGGCATGCCCCTTTCTTATGATATGTGTTTACCAAGCAATTTTCTGGATAAGAATTAGTTGTCCAAGTAAGCAGATATATATGTAGGTAATAATACTTATACATACATGAGTTTTAGAATTTCCATCTCTATGACAATTTTATATTTGCAAATCAGCATTACAGCTTTTATCCATCAACCTTATGAACTTAAGTAGAGTCTATCACTGAAAGGTAAATCTTCTTTTATAAGACATGGACAATATGAGGTTTTAAAATGCCCTCTTCTGTGGCAACAGATAATAAATGAAGCTCTGCTTTAGGTCTGCTAAGCCTTGTGATCTTTCTCTTTTTTATCCCAGTGCCCTGCTTCATACTATCATTTCCTCTATGATATTTTTGTTGACAGAGCAACAAATAATTTGTCTTCATCAGAAGACTGGACAAGATAAGGAAAGAATAATGAGTTTGAAGTTATGTCCGTAGCAACTCCTCAAACTGAAATGCAGTGAAAAAAAGAAAAAGAATATTCAAGAACAGTGGGACCATTATAAAAGATGTGGCATAAGTATACTAGAATACTAGAAAGAGAGTTATTAAGTATTAACTCATATGATCACGAGGTCCCACAATAGGCCATCTGCAGTCTGAGGAGCAAGGAGAGACAGTCTGAATTCCAAAACTGAAGAACTTGGAGTCCGATGTTTGAGGGCAGGAAGCATCAAGCATGGGAGAAAGATGTAGGCTGGGAGGCTAGACCAGTCTCTCTTTTCACATTTTTCTGCCTGCTTATATTCTAGCCGCAGTGGCAGCTGACTAGATTCTGCCCACCCAGATTAAGGGTAGGTCTGCCTTTCCCAGCCCGCTGACTCAAATGTTAATCTCCTTTGGCAACACCCTCACTGACACACCCAGGAGCAGTACTTTGTATCCTTCAATCCAATCAAGTTGACATTCAGTATTAACCATCACAGTCTTCCAGTTGAGAAAGTTGTATATGTATACTAGAATTGAACAATTATGTAAATGATAGGGATGCTGGGAGCCAGACTTCTCTCTGTTCAAGTAGAAGTTTACAGATAAGCAAGAAAACAAGTCTAGAATGATCTGGTAATTGAGTAGAGTCAAAGACATCAGGATGAACTCATATTTAGCTTGAAATAGATACATATATTTCTTCTACTTGCTCCTATCCAAAGTCCGTTCATTTTTCAAGGCCCAATTCTCCATCTGCTTAATCCGCAATTATTTGCCTAAATGCTCAAATATTCATTAAATTTCTGCTGCACTTATATCCTGAAGCAAACATCCTGGAAATTGCTATGCATTATTAGGTATTATATAGCAATATTTTAATTTTTAGAAATAGTATTACTTTTTTTCTTTTGCTAATTTTTATATTCCCAGAAGATTAGAACCAAGTACTTCTTTGGTCCAGCTTCTATTATATAATAAAGTGACAAACACATTACTGGGCAATAAAAGAAGGAATACTCTCTGATTTATGAATAGTGTTACCCAATCTGCTTATTGAAGAAATAATTTATAAGCAACATTTTTATACAGTGGCTTTATATTAAAACCATTGTAGAAAATGTTTCTGCTAAGTTCCTTAATGGAATATTTTCTTAATTATTTTAGTAAAAGTAATATTTATATTAATATTGTTGTATTTATATTAATGTTTATATTTGAACATTTTCTCACCATCAAAACTTTGTCATATAAATGAGATGTTGCATGTAAAAAAGAACATGCTTATTTTTGATGAACAAGTTAAATATTCACAAAAATTAATTACGTATTAAACCATAAATAAAACCTTAATAAACTTAAAAAATTCAACCGTATGTAGGTTATGTTCCCTGGTCATGATGCAATAAAATTAGAAATGAATAGTAAAAGGATGGCTGCAGTAAACATATTCATATTTCTGATTGCCAGTCTCCAGTAAGGGTTGTTTTTTTTTTAACAACTCCTTAACTGAAAACAAGTGTAAACAATGTTAGAAAGAATAATCCTCCCAAAGACAGCATGAATATGATGAAATATTAAAAAATGTTCAGCCCACAATCTGAAAGAGAATAAAAACAAGAGAGACAATAAAAGATCTAACCCACTTAGCCACTGGTGACTATAAACACCTGCAACCCTCATAGTGTTACTGAGCTTAATTTACCCCATGAAGATTGTCAACAGTTTATCTCCATTCTTAAATTTAGCTTAAAGTGATCCTGGGTTGTTCATATCAATGAGCACTTGGAAGAAATGAATGTATTTCCTCTGTGGAGGATATCACCTCTATTTGGGCCCTCCACAAATGCTCACAAGTAATTTTTATGGAAATCAATTAAATGGTAAAATATCATCATGCGCAATAGAAAACAAGGCAATATGTGTGAGATCCAGCAGGAACAACAGAAAGTAGAAACAGACCAAAATATGCTTGAGAAATTCAGATTATCAGACATAAATTGTTTGCTTTATCAAGAAAACAAAAACAAGCTCAGCTGGGAGCGGTGGCCCATGCCTATAATCCCACCATTTTGGGAGGCCAAGGTGGGCAGATTACTTAAAGTCAGGAGTTCGAGACCAGCGTGGCCAACATGGTGAAACCCCATCTCTAATAAAAATACAAAAATTAGCTGGGTGTGGTGGCATGCGCCGGTAATTCCAGCTACTTGGGAGGCTGAGGCAGAATAATCACCTAAACCCAGGAGGCGGAGGTTGCAGTGAGCTGAGATGATGCCACTGCACTCCAGCCTGGATGAGGGAGTGAGATTCTATCTCAAAAAATAAAAATCAAAAACAAAAACAAAAAAACAAGCCTATTCTATTGGGGCCGAGGGGGAGGAAAAAACAGCTTAAAGTTATCAGAATATAACAGAAAATTATTTTTTCAATGTACACCATATTTAAAGAAAAGTAAAATTGTAGAAGTAAAAGATGTAGTAACTAGAATTTTAAAAATCAGTGAATGAATGTGGCAGCAGATTAGTCATAAAATAAGAGAGAATTAGTAAATTAGAAGCTGAGCCAGAAGAATTCGGAAAATAGCACAGAGAGAAAAAAATAGATGGAAAATATAAGAAAGAGGCTAAGAGATATAAATGAAAGTTAGATTATTTAAAATACATTTAACTTCAGCTTGGAAACAGAAAAGGCCAAAAAATATTTAAAGAGAAAACAAGAACATACAACAGGTCCAAAGAAAACATCCATCAAATTCCAAGTACGTTAAAGAAAGATAAATCCAAACGTTGAAATATTTTAGTGAAATTACAGAAAATAAAGGACAAAGAGAAAACAATGCCAAGAATAGCTAGAGAAAGACAATAGTGAGTATGAGATTGATATAGAATTATAAAGACCAAGTAAAGATATATCATGCAAATATTAATCTCAAAAAAGTTGATATCAGATAAATGTTTTGGAAGAAGTAAATAGAGTCTTGTAACAATATAAAGTTTTTAACTCATCAGAATAGTACGAGCTGAATTCATATATTTTGAAATACACAGCCTTAAGATGAATAAAGAAAGAATATACAAAGACTCCTTTCAGGAATCATTTCTTTAGTTCCTACTAGAGAGGCTTCTCTTAACATGTGGAGCGCTGGAAACCACAAAGAGGAGGTGCAGCATTCAGTTCTAAGTGTGAAGTGGATTCTTGGTGTTGCTGTGCTGCAACTGCCATTTGCTAATGATGACCTTGCTTTTCTTACTTAGAGTAAGACAGAGAGACAGCAGTCAGCCTAAGCGGTTTCCATTTATGAAAGCAAAAAACAAAAACAAAACCACTCTAAATTTGCAAACCAAAATAGACTGTAATCAGAGTGGAAAATTTTAACATACCTCTCAGTAATTAACAAAACAACCAGACAAAAACAACAGTGAGTTTATAGTAGGCATGAACATACAAACACAACCACAATAATAGAATAATAAACTTTATTTTTTAGCACACCTGGACCACTTACAAAAATTGATTTTGTACTTGACTATAAAATCTCAACAATTATTGGAAGACTGATACAGTATAATAGTCTCTCATCACAAAACAATTAAGCTAGAAATAATGAAATAACTTTAAAACATTTCCTGTAGTTAGAAATTTAAAATTGTATTTGAAAGTACTCATGAAAAAACACTTTTTAAAAAAACAGAAATTAGAAAATACTTTCATCTAAACTTTTCTCTTTTTTTCTTTTTTTTTATTATGCTTTAAGTTCTAGGGTACACGTGCACAACGTGCAGGTTTGTTACATACGTATACATGTGCCGTGTTGGTTTGCTGCACCCATTAACTCGTCATTTACATTAGATATATCTCCTAATGCTATCCCTCCCCCCTCCCCACACCCCATGACAGGCCCCGGTGTGTGATGTTCCCATCTTTTCTAATCCTTGTAAATGCAGCTAAAACCATATTTAGGGGAAAATTTAAAATCTTAAACAATACATTATAGAGAAAGAAGCCTGAAAACTAATGAGGTAAGGATCCATCTCAAGAAGTTAGAAAAATTATAACAAATAAACCCAAGAAAATAGAATGAAGAAAAACTTTATTAAGAGCAGAAAGTGATGAAACAAACAAATACTATGGAAAGGATCAATAGAACACAAATTTTATTTTTGGATATTGTTAATAAAATTGTCTAACTTGACAGAAACTAAATTAGAAAAAAAAAGAGATGAGTAAGCAATATCAGCAATGAAATAGAGCACACAACTGCAAATGCTACAGACATTTAAAGAACAGATTTTATATATTAAAAAAAAAGAAAAAACTTTGGCCAGCACAATGGCTCACACCTGAAATCCCAGCACTTTGGGAGGCTGAGGCGGGTGGATCACCTGAAGTCAGGAGTACAATAACAGCCTGGCCAACATTGTGAAACCCCATCTCTACAAAAATACAAAACTTAGCTGGACATGGTGGCAGGTGCCTGTAATCCCAGCTATTTGGGAGGCTGAGGCAGGAGAATTGCTTGAACCCGGGAGGTGGAGGTTTCAGTGAGCCTAGATGGTGCCATTGCACTCCAGCCTGGGTGACAAGAGTAAAACTCCATTTCAATAAATAAATAAATAAATAAATAAATAAATAAATAAATAAATAAATATTTTAAAAAAGAAAAAATTTTATACCAATCAATATGAATATTTCAGATACTCATAAAATATACCAAAGTGTCTGTCTAAAAAGGAAACTGAAACACTGTATAGTCCAGAAGATTGAATCAATAATTTTTTTTCAAAGAAAACTCTAATTCAAGATGTATCTATCAGTAAGTTCCAGAAAAGCTTCAAGGAAGAAATATTTTCTATCTTACGTAAACTCTTCCACGAGGGGCAGGGGTGCTGAGAGAAAGAGAGAAAGAAGAATGGCCCAATTAATTCCACTGGGCCAAAAGTTCTTCAAACTGGATATCACAAGACTGCACTTTCAAGATCTCTCAATCTTTCTTTCCAGCTTGTATTATGTTTAATACTGACTATGACATATTCTGAAAATTATTTTTTCTTATTGATATTTAAAAAGTTATATTCTTATTGATGACATAATTTCTTCTGCAGTATCTTAAGTATAGTCACAGAAAAAGGAAAAAATAAAAGTAGTCACTTTAAAAAATATTTGGTGCTGGCAGCTCCAAATATGGCAGTGGTTAACATTTGAAACCTCCAAACTCATTAAACTCTTTAAAAATTATATGTCACAGTAGTCTCTATAAAAGGGTAAAAAATGATTTGTTTTACAATATTGCTGTATATATCATAGCTCTTCCCAGCCTTTTTTAAGATACCTTCGATAGTTTGCAAAAATGTATTTAACTGTTTCCATAAAATGAGGTAACAGAAAAAAAGTATTTATGTATCCTTAAAGACAAAATTTTTAGATTAAAATATTTCTACATGAATCTATGATTATTTAAACAGTCCAAATTAAGTAATTTGATGTAATCTCAGAGGATTTTAAATGAAAATATCAATTTTTCTACTATCTACCGAGTTCTTCATGTTTGGTTTACGCAATTTAAAAAGTAGGATCTGAACATCAGCAAAAAGTAGGAGAAGTATTAATAAAGCCTGGGAGACCTTAGAAGATCAACATGTGACACCCTCTCATTCCAGTTATTCAGTAAAGTTTATGAAATGTTTGGTATAAGGAGATATCTTGTGAAAACACCTAAGGGGATTAATATGGGTGGATGCATTGTGATAATACATAGACCACACACAGGTTAGGAGGTGAAGACAAAAGGAGTAAAGAGAAACCCACGCTTACTCACAAAAGTGCCTGAACACTGGAATCTTCAGAGTTCTTGAATCTTGTAAGGCTGTAGGCCTTGCATAAGCCATAAAATTGGGATTGGAGAATTGTTTAAGGTGATTTTTGCCCAAGTTTTTTATTGTGATGAGAAACACATAAGAAAATTGAGCATCTTGACATTTGTAAGTGATAGTTCAATAATACTAAATACATTCATAACGCTGTGCAACCATCACCACCACCTACCTTCAGAACTCTTTCCATCTTGTAAAACTGAAATTCTATAACCATTAAACAGTAACTCCCCATTCCTCCAAACTCCAGCCCCTGTCAACCACACTATATTTTCTACTGCTTATTATAATTTGGGACCTTACATTTAGGTCCTTGATCCATTTTGATTTTTTATTTTAATTTTTGTATATGGTGTTAAGTAAGGGTCTGACTTCACTTTATATATATATATGTGTATATATATAAAATATTAGACAAATATATATGTGGATATATAATTAGTCATATATATATATATGTGGATATCTAGTTTTCCAAGCACTGATTGTTCAAAAGACTTGCCATTTACCTCACTGAATGGCATTGGCCCCCTTGTCAAAAACCATTTGACCATATATATCATGGTTTATTTCTGGGTTTTCTATTATTTTCCATTGCTCTATCTCTCTGTCTTTATGCCAGCACTATCCTTTTTTTGATTACGATAGCTTTGTAGAAAGTTTTGAAATCAAAGTTTGAGTCCTCCATCTTTGCTCTTTTCCAGGTCATTTTGATTATTCAGAGTCCCTGAGATTTCCTATGAATTTTTAGATGAGTTTTTCTATTTTTGTAAAAATGCCATTGGGATTTTGATAGGGATTGCATTAAGTCTGTAGATTGCTTTGGGCAGTATTGAAATCTCAACGGGATTAAGTCTTCCAATCCATGAGCATGGGGTGTGCTTACATTTATTTGTGAATTCTTTATTTCTTTTAGCACGTTTTGTAATTTTTATTATACAAGTGCTACGATCTGAATGTGTGACCCCAAAATTTATGTGTTGAAACCTAATTCCCCATGTGATGATATTAGAAAGTGAGGCCTTCAGGAGGTGATTAGATAATGAGGACGGAGTACTCATCGATGAGATCAGTGCCCTTATGAGGGGCTGAAGAGACAAGTGTTTTCTCATTTAGCCATGTGAGGATTCAGCAAGAGGACTTTCACAAACGGAAAAGCAGGTCCTAACCAAACAGAATCTGCTAGTGCCTCTGTCTTGGATTCCCAGCCTCCAAAGCTGGGAAAAATAAATGTCTGTTGTTTACAAGCTACTTACTTTATGGCATTTTGTTATAACAGCCCAAACAGACTAAGACAACAAGTCTTTTGCCAACTTGGTTAATTCTTAAGTATTTTGTTGTTTTTGATGACATTGTAAATTCAATTTTTTTTAAACTTTCTTTTCAGATTGTTCATTTTTAGTGTATAGAAATGTGACTGATTTTTGTATGTGGACTATATATCCTCTTGCTTTGCTGAATTGATTTATTAGTTCAAACTTTAGGAATTTTTTTATAAAGTTCTACATATGAGATCATATAATCTGCAAATAGAGATGTTTATTTCTACCTTTCCAATGTAGGTGCCTTTTATTTCTTTTTCTTTCCCAATTGCTCTGGCTAAAACTTCCAGTACTGTAACAAATCTGTAACAAATAGAATTGGTAAAAGCAGGCATCCTTGCCTTGTCATGTTTTTAGAGGAAAAGCTTTTACTCTTTCACCACTGAGTATACTGTTACCTGCAGGATTTTCATATATGACTTTTATTATATTGAGGTAGTTTTCTTCTATTCCTAATTTGTTTAGTTTTTATATCATGAAAAGGTGTTGAATTTTGTCAAATGGTTTTTCTGCATCAACTGAGATGATCATATGTGTTTTTTCTTCATTCTCTTAATGTAATGCATTATACTGATCAATTTTTATATGTGGAGACCATTCCAGGAATAAATCCCACTTGGTCATGGGATGTAATCTTCGTAATTTACTGCTGAATTCAATATGCTGGTATTTTATTGAAGACTTTTTACATTAATGTTTATTAAAGATATCTATAGTTTTCTTTTTGTGTAGTGTCTTTTTCTGGCTTGGGTATCTGGAAAATACTGGCCTCATAGAATGAGTTAGAAAGTGTTCCCTCCTCTTCAATACTTTGACAAATTTTGAAAAGGATTGGTATTAGTGCTTCTTTAAATATTTGGTAGCGTTCACCAGTGAAACCGTCAAGTCAAGGGCTCTCTTTATTAGGACTTTTTTTTATTATTACTTCAATCTTCTCACTAGTTATAGGTCTATTCATATTTTCATTTATTTGTGATTTAACCTTGGTAGGTCTTATGTTTCTAGAAATTGATTCATTTCCTTTAGGTTATCAAATTTTTTGGCATACAATTGTTCATAATACACTCTTAAAATCATTTTTATTTCCATAGAATACATAGTAATATTCCACTTTTATTTCAGATTTTAGCAATTTGAGTCCTACTCTTTGTTCTTATTAGCTAGCTAAAAGGTTTCTCAATTTTGTTGATCACTTCAAAGAACTAGCTTTGGTGCTTTGATTTCATTGGTTTTGGGTTTCATCATATTCTCTATTGCTTTTCTGTTCTCTATTTTGTTCACCTCTGCTCTAATCTGTCTTATTTCCTTTCTTCCGCTAGCACTGGGTGTATCTTGCTTTTCTTTTGCTAGTTCCTTAAATTGTAAAGCTTGGTTGTTGATTTGAGATTTTTCTTGATTTTTAACATAGGCATTTATAGCCGTAATTTTACCCTTTGCACTCACTGTATTCCAAAAGTTTTGGTATCTTGTGATTATGTTTTCATTCATCTCTTAGTTTTTCTTTAATTTTTCATGTGATTTTTTTCTTTGATCCATTGTGTTTAAGAATGTATTAATTGATTTCCACAAATTTGTGAATTTTCCTCTTTCCTTTCTCTTATTGATTTCAAACTTCATCTTATTCTGGTCAGTGAAGATACTTTGCATGAAGTATATCTTTTAAAATCTATTAAGACTTCTTTTCTGGTCTAACATATGGTCTATCTTGGAAAATGTCGCATGTGCACTTGAGAAGAATGTGTCTGTTATTGTTTTTGGGTAGAGTGGGCTGTATACGTCTGTTAGATCTTGTTGGCATACTGTGTTGTACAAGTCATCTATTTCCTTACTTCTCCCTGGTTGTTCTATACATTGAGAATTTGATTTTAAGTCTCCAACTATTATTGTAGAACAATTTCTCCCTTCAATTCTGTCAGTTTTTTAAATATATTTTGGTGGTCTGTCATTAGGTATGTACATGTTTATGACTGTGATATCTTCTTGTTGTATTAAAACTTTTATAACACAAAATGTCCTTCTTTGTCTTTTCCAATTTTTTTAAAATTTAAAACATATTTTGTCTAGTATTATTATAATCACCTTGCTCTCTTTTGGTTACTACCTGCATGAAATATCTGTTCCCCTCCTTTACTTTTTAATCTATTTGTGTCTTTGGATGTAAATTTAATTCAAATATAGGAAGCAGGCAGTTGGATTATGGTTTTTTAATCTATTCTACAAATCTCTGTCTTTTCATTGGATATTTTAAATTATTTTCATTTAAAGTAATTGCTAAGGCTGGGCACAGTTGTTCACACCTGTAATGCCAGTACTTTGGAAGGCTGAGGCAGGAGAATCACTTGAGGCCAGGAGTTCAAGAGCAGCCTGGCCAAAATGGTGAAACGCCGTCTCTACCAAAGATACAAAAATGAGCCAGGTGTGGTGGTGCGTGCCTGTAATCCCAGCTTCTTGGGAGGCTGAGATAGGAGAATCACTTGAATCCGAAAGGCGGAGGTTGCAGTGAGCCAAGATTGCACTACTGGACTCCAGCCTGGGCAACAAAGAGACTTCGCCCCCAACCCCCCATAAATAAATAAATATTAAAATAAAATAAAGTAATTGCTGATAAGTAAACTTACATCTGTCACCTTGCTATTTGTTTTCTAGATGCCTTACAGCTTTTCTGTCCCTCACTTTCTGCATTACTCATCTCCTTTGTGTTTAGTTGATTTTTTTTAAGTAAAACATTTGAAGTTCTTTTTTATTTTCTTTTGTTTGTATTCTATGGCTATTTTCTTTGTGGTTATCATGGCAATTACATTTATCATCATACAGTTATAACACTGCAATTTAAATTTATATTAGCTTAACTTCAATAACATGCACAAGCATTGCTCCTTTATCAGCTTTATCACCACCTTTTGTTGATGTTACAATATTACATGTTTATATATTGTGTGCTCCAAACATCATGAAATAAAATTCATTATTTCTTGATGATTGTAGAAAACAAAACCTGGATTTACAAACCAAGATTACAATAGTATTAGCTTTTAGACTAAATTTTTTTAATGTAATAATATATTAGACCATGTAGAAAATAAAAATTGTCATTACAGATGATTGTTATAATAATATTAGCTTTTCTTATTGTCCATGCGTTACTTTTATTGAGATATTTATTTCTTCATATGGCTTCAAGTTAATGCCTACTGTCCTTTTATTTCACCCAGCAGGACTCCCTTAAACATGACAAAACAAACAAACAAACAAACAAAAACCTCCCTAGCTTTTGCTTACTTGTAAATTTCTTAATTCCTCCCTCATTTATGGACAATTTTGCTAGATACAAGACTCCTGATTGACAGTATTTTTCCAACTACAACTTTGAAATATTTGCCCACTGCCTTCTGTCCTCCAATGTTTCTAATGAGAAATCTCATAATTTTATTGAGGTACTCTTGTATATGACAAGTTACTTCCCTCTTGCTGCTTTCAAGATTCTCTGTCTTTGGCTTGTAAAAATTTGATTATAATGTTTCTCCATGTAGATGTCCTTGAGTTCATTTTACCTACAGTTTGTTGAGCTCTTTGGATGTTTATATTCATATCTTTCATCAAATTTAGAAAGTGTTTAGCTATTATTTTTTAAAATATTCTCTCTGGAACTTTGTCTCTTCTCCTTTGGGACTCCTGCAATTTTATGTTGATTTCTGCTTAATGGTGTCCCACAGATTTCTTAGGTTTAGTTCACTTTTCCTCAAACTTTTTTCTTTCTGTTTCTCAGACTTGATAATTTCCATTGTCCTACCTTCAAGGTCACTGATTCCTTCTTCTCCCTACTCAAATCTGCCTTTGAATCCTTCTAGTATTTTTTTTTTCATTTTAACTATTGTACTTTCCAGTTCTATAATTTTTTTGGTTCATTTCTAGGTTTTCTAACTCTTTATTGATATTTTCATTTTGTTCATATATTGTTTTCTTAGCTTTCTCCCCATCTTTAATTATTTGAGCATATTTAAGACAGTTCTTCGAAATCTTTATCTAGTAGATATACTTTCTGTTCTTTTCAGGAACAATTTCCATAGTTTATTTTTTCTTTGAGTGGGCCATACTTTTCTGTTTCTTTGTGTGTCTTGTGATTTTTTTTTTTTTTTTGGCAAGAACTGGACATTTGAATCTAATAATGTGGCAATTCAGGAAATCATATTCTTTCCCTTCCCCAGAGTTTGCTATTTGTTGTTTTTATTTATTCTTTTTAAATTGTTGTAGGTTGTCCCTGTGCTAAGGATCAGCCTGTGATGTAAACTTAAGGTTTTCTCGGGTGTTTCCTGAGTCTGTGCCTTTCCCTGGCAAGTATGGTCACTTTCTAATTTTCCTGTATATGCTGTTATTTGTGAATGTCCTAGTCATAAATATCTGGCTCCCAAAAAAGGGAAAAGAGAAAAAATGAAAGAGTGGAGGAATGGGTGCCAACCCTTTAAATCCCCTGGAAGTCACTTTAGCTATAGGGTGGACAGCTTGCAACAATGAGGGAGGTATAAGAACAATGGCTACCCACCTCCTTTTCTGCACCTCAGTAATCAGAAGCAGCAATCAGCAATCAGAGCACAGCTCCCTAATATTTGGAGAACAGGGTCCTTTTTGCCCACCCTAGCTCCCACTAACTGTATGCAAGCTGCTCCTGGAATGCATGCACACCTGCTTACCCTACATGAGGGATAAGTGGTTGCTACTATGCTGAGAACTAAAATTGACCTATCAAGCCTTCCCCTGGGGGTTGCAAGCCTTCAATAGACTCCAGATTTCCAAAACAGTTACAAGAGTCAGAGACGGCCAGTGCAATTACTATTGAGGTAGAAAGACTGATTGCTGGTGCTTCCTACTCCACCATCTTCCCAGAATTCTCCTTGGATATTGTTCAAGGTAATTTTGCCTATCATATGAGGCAGAGATACCCGAGCCTTTCATAAAGCTTAGGCAGGGAATAACTCTCTCTTCATGCTTAGGACTGAGAGCCACTCATGCAAATTAATGCCACCAAATATCTGTGAGGATATTAGCCATGTAGGATTCAGGGTTGGAGTCCTAGAGATAGTTTTTACTTTATTCTAAAAGATGCACATAGTACAATTTTAATATAGTGCAAATTTTGTCTTGAGCACTCCCTAATCCTTGATTTACCAACCTCCTTCTTCATGCCAACAACCAAAGAGAGGCATAATTCTCTCATATTAAGCTTAAATGTCCTGGGACTTCACTTTTTCTAATGTGCCTCCATGCTTATTTTCTTTCACTCTTTCAAAGGTGTAACTAAACATAAAGTTTCACTTAAGATATTAAATACTCAATTTTTAAGGGTATCTTATATTTTCTGTACATAAGATTTTATCCACAAATAGTGCAAGGAGTAATATTATATAATACATGACAATTTTATCTGAGGCATGCCAGGGTCGTAACTTGAAGGCAATGATAAGTGATTAAAGTATTCCATTCCTTTTTAGGCCAGTAAGGAAGGAGGGTTCTAGGTGTGTGTGTGTGTGTGTGTGTGTGTGTGAATGCACGCACATACACACGCATGCAAATATGTTTGAGAACACTGTGGCCCTCAAAACAAAACACAAATGTTACTCTTCTTGATCAAAGGAATTCCAGGAATTTATGACACAGGATGATATAAGAATGAACATGTCAATTCTTACTATACATTCAAATGGAGAAGGAACAAAAATAGTGCAGTGCCCTACCCACAATATCATGTTAGTGTCCTTTCCTTTCCTACTGCAAAACTTCCTCAAACCCCATCAGATGAATATGGGCACCCCCTCCCTCCACATACATGTAGGATTGTGACTTGGCCAGTTCCGTCCAATGGCGCCATCAAAGTTTGCCTCTCTCCTTCTTGAAGCTCCCCCAACATCCTTGGATTGCTGTATATAGCATTCAGTTACCCTTGTAAACAGGCAGACCTAGTCTCATCCCTGATTATCTTTGTCATTACAGCAAGGAATTTTGAGGTGTAAGAGTAAAGAGGAACTGAGGACATGAAGGGAGAGAGTAGCTCTGAGTCAGTAAGCAAGGCTTTGAATTCACTGCAGTTGCAAGCAGCATGGCAGTATCTTATAATTCAAAAACAAAACTTTAATGTTTTCAGCTCATTCTAAACTTTTTACGGGGCAGCAAGGTCATTATTACTGACATTCTCAGTTTTGGGATCTTCTATTTCAGAAGCCACCATCACATTGCTTTCTGACTAAAACCACAAGGTTTGTTTGACTGAATCAGACTTGATTTGCTTAGTGTCAGTCTTTTTTTTTAGGACGCCATTTTAATCCATATCATCTGCTGTCCATTACAAGAATAATATCTCTTAAGTTTTCCCTCAGTAGGGAGAGTGACTTGTTTTCTTTCCCTTCATATAAGGGTTCTTTTAGCCAAAGGAACTCTAGCCTTGCAATGTTTGTTTTGTGTGATTTCTGTTATTTTTATTGTACAATTTTAACACCCTACTCTACCCTCTACTCCAGACTAGCAAGGCTTGCAGAATTAATTTATCAACGTCCCTTTGAGTCCGTTTCTTATTTTCTCATGAGTTAACTGCATTCACATTTTAAACCAAATCTTGGCAGTAAGAGCCCTAGTGCTAGCTGTTGCCTCATCTATGATTTTCCATGAAAAAATCATCTCTCTCATGAAATTCTTCCTGAGAGTACCAAAGCTCTCTTATAGCAGCCAAGACTCACTGCAAAATCCCTGAGACAAAGTGAATTTAAGATTGGCAGCAAAGACTGTAGGCGGTGCTGAGCTGTAAGATAGCTCAGCTGTTGCATTTCTTCTTAACGAGCATTATATGTATGCCTGGCCCCTCATTTCTCAAGCACCAATGAAATTTCTAATGATTTCTTGGGTTTCTACCACAGTGTTGATGACTGTCTCTTGTTTCACCCATGTGGGTGCACGTCTCTATAAATATTTTCCAAAGAGAGTCAGAAACATCTTCCCTCCCACAAGCAAATCTTAGTATGAGTTGTTACAGTGGGGCAAACCAGGGACTGGATGCCGAATTGGTAGAAGTCCTCCCCACACCCTCCAGCCTGCAAGGCGGTTAGCAGCACCTAGGCAGTGTTTGGGTATCTTGTCTTAGAACCTGCTTTCAGGCTCTCATCTTGCAATTTGTCTCTCCAATTTCTCCTCATCAATAGAAAATAAAGTAGAGGACCATTTATTGCCTGGTTGAACATACAATTGTGTCAACATTTCATTACTGGTCTCCATGAGCTTTACTCAGAGTTCGATAATGAGTCCCCAAGGGATACTCTTTCAGAAAGCCATCTCTCTATAAGAATGTCACCTAAGTTGCCAAGACCTGTCAAAAACTCTTAAAGGTTGGAGATAGCCTGTCAAGTTTCATGGATGCTGTTAGATGACACGAGACTCCTGGGGCAGAGGTAAAGGATGGTTTATTGTAATAGCAGAACCAAAGGATCAGTATTTGTACTATTTCCCCAAGCCCTGATTCTTTCAGGGCAACATGAAGTGGTCTACGTGGTACCCACATTGTATTATAGGAGGGAAAACCTGAGTTTAGGGGACCTGAATATTTTATATTGTATAATAAGTATGCCTACCCTTTCATCCCAAGGGAGACAGTCATCTCTGTCTTCCATGAGTATAAGCAAACCTGTTACTTCAGAGGGAGTGTTAACTTTATGATCCATGACTATTCTTTATACAAATATCCTTTAAAAGATACTCTGGAACAAAGAGCAGTCAAGTGTGCCTGTTTGCAAGATGTACAGAAACAAAAGACCCGTGAAGAACTGTCTTCCAACATTTCACCAGTAAATGAAGAGAATTTCAGGAATAAATTGGTTTGCCTAGTTGATTTTTGCCACCAGAATTTTTGCCAAATAGAATTATTTGGTGGTATGCTAAATCACATGCATGCAAATGAAAAGATAACAAGCAATGTACAAATCCACTTTTCATATTTATTACAAAAACAAGCTAGAATAAGCAACTTTTGGAGCTACGGTTCTTCAGAGTTGGAAAAATAGTATATATTATCTAAATCAAATAATAGAAAAGAAAAAATGAAGTACAATAATGGTATAATAAATAACTGCAAACAAAAATGTGTAATGATAGAGACAAAAATGGTGGCCAAAAATGAACACCAGGTTAGATCAGCACAATGGAGTAAGAATCTGTAATAAAATGAAGCAAGAATATGTTTTGGCTTTGCAGCTAAAATCAATTTTGGCAGAATGAGATTTACTACTTAAAATTGTGTCTGCCTTTTGAAAATAAATATTGAAGATGATTCTATGACATTGAATGATAGCAGGTAAAAACAAATTTTGAAAAAGTAGAGGTAGTTCAATTTTAAGTTTTGAAGTTTAGGAGGTAAGAGAGATAGTATTAAATAGCACAAGAAAAATAAAGGAACGCATAAATATTGCAAGGCTAGACTTTGGGGAAAAGAAATAGTTAAATTAAAAGAAAGATGGAAAAAATCTCTCTCCTACCAGTTGAAAATTTTCAGACTAAATAACCCATTTTATGTGACTCGAGTGAGCCTTCCCAAGACACTCATACACTTAAAATTTGCATAAGCTTAGATTAATCTAGCAACTTCAGATTCAGGAAATTATGAGGACCTTCACTCTGTTAGCAGTCTCATTTTGACATCCTAGTTGTGAGTAATGTGAAGAGAAAGGGAGAAAGGAGCAGGTACGAAAGAAGAGGAAGAGAAGGGAATAAAGGAAGGGAAAAAGAAAAAAAAAGGAAGAAGAGAAGGAGGAGAAAGAAGGGAAGGAGAAAGGGAGATAAAAAGAAGACAGACTAATGGGATAAAAGGACGAAAAGAAAAGAGAAAGAGAAAAATCCTCATTCAGTTCCCAGAAGTATAAGTAACTTATAATTGTTCCAGTAAGTACAGATGGACAAAACAATTTGCTTATTGGTGCATTTTGTAAGCTCTAAAAACAGATATATATGATTTGTTTGGTTTCTTTTATTATTAAAAGATAAAAACAGGCTGCAATGGCATATGAGTGACACAAATATGGAGGCAGGTTAGAAGCCAACTTTTACTGTAGTAAATGGCCAAACTTACTCACTGCTACTCTTTTCCATCCAAAGTCAACACGTTCTCAGGCTTTAGCACGGCGGGGAAAAGGGTTGTCAATATTTGTACTGAATCTTATTGTTAGATTTCTTAAAAGGTAAATGATTAAAAGGCTGGAATGTAATGAATTACTGAATTTATATATATATATATATATATATATATTTTTTTTTTTTTTTTTTTTTTTTTTTTTTTTTTTGAGACGAGTCTCGCTCTGTCCCCCAGGCTGGAGTGCAGTGACGCGATCTCGGCTCACTGCAGGCTCCGCCTCCTGGGTTCAGGCCATTCTCCTGCCTCAGCCTCCCGAGTACCTGGTACTACAGGCGCCAGCCACCATGCCCACTAATTTTTTGCATTTTTAGTAGAGACGGGGTTTCACTGTGTTAGCCAGGATGGTCTTGATTTCCTGACCTCGTGATCTGCCCGTCTTGGCCTCCCAAAGTGCTGGGATTACAGGCGTGAGCCACCGCGCCCGGCCTGAATTATATTTCAAGAGTTTCCAAATCACGTTCAATATTCTCTAGAATATTAGTAAATTTAAATGCATTCACTCGTTTTTAAAGGACATTTGGTTCAATAATTTTAAATTAAATTGTTTTATTATGGTACTCTCTTTTGGGGAGGGAGATGATAAAAGGTGTACTGAGTATCAGTCTTTTCCTCACTGTTATTAGAACATTAAAAGATTTATTCATAAAGCTGAAGTTTATTTCAATATCTCTCATGCATTTGTCTATTTTATAAAAGGATACAATGTACTCTAAGAATGTCTGGGTTAATATTAATATCAGAAACATAGACTGAACGTTAGATTGTATTACATTTTATATTCCTTAACACATGGCACCTTTGAATTTTGTAATGCTATCCAAATGTATACATATGAACTATTTGATATAAAATTCCTTTAATAACTTCAGAGTCTGTCAGAATTCAGACATTTTGTGTATTGCTTGCTATTCAAAGGAAAATTATTTGCACCATTTTGGTGTATTGATTTGTCTGTTTTGTTTCCTGGAGAGAGTCTATTATGGAACTGAAAAAAATATTCAACAGTCATTTTGCTCTAACTCTCAGTAAGAAGGAATTGTTTTAATATGATTATAAATTAAAGACTAAAGTAAAATCTTCCCTATTTATTTTGGTCAGTTCAGCTATGTTTCTCAACTGAAATTATCTTCTAAGAAGTTACAAACAAAATGTTAAATACATGGGAACTTCAACGTTGCAGGGGCCTTCAATTACCATTTTAAAATGAAATTTTTTAAAGATAAACTTGACATATACCCAAGTATTTCATGGCTCTTTATAAGATTTTGTTTTGCATCATTCAGTATTATGCAAATAAGGCTGAAAAGGTTGGTGAATTTGAACACATTTGTTAGATTCCATGTACTCCTATACAGGGATCCTGAAAATACTTTGTATTAAGTTCTTGTTCAATTAGACCAAATTTCCTCCACTTGGCTAAGCTTCATGGAAACATCACACTTTATTTTCTACCTACCAAAAGCAGGGTATTTCAAGATATCTACAGTAGCCTAAATGTGATAGTTTTAAGATTGCAACTTTTGTATCCTACTAATGTTTTTAACATTTATCTTCACTAATATTTAAACAGTTGAACATTTTTTAAAAATAAGAAATAGAAACGTCCTTTCAAGGGTCATGAAGGTCTTATCATCCTTGAGATAGATTGGTGGAATGTAGGCTACTCTGTCCCTTCATCTTTCCATCAATCTACTGAACAGCGTGGCTGCAGTCATTTACACACCAGGAAGAAATAGAGTCCCTGAGCCACTGCTTGTTCAGTGTGTTATTTCACTCTCCCAATGTCAGTTGAAAGTGTTTTCATCCTTCAGTGTTTTCTCAGCCTGGCAGAAAAATGGATAATGGATGATGATGTGGATGACAAAGTGCATGGACTCTGAAGCTGATGAAGAGGAGAAAGAATTTGATAAGAAAAGCCACAGCATTATGAAAAATCTCAAACACACACAAGTGGAGCCCTTATGTTGCTTCTCTGTTACAGAATGCTTTTCTCTCTCGAGCTCATGCCATCTCATCTATTTGCTTAGATACGGTGCTAAAAAATGCAGACACGTAAAATGTGTTAGTAAGAAGGATTATTATCATTTTTCCAGTAAGTGTTTAAGGTAGATTTATGAATCCTTACATTTTCAATTTCCATTTTTTTCTCCTCTTTTAGATCACTATGGCAAACTTTCACTATTAACAACAATTCCTATTCTCTAACCTAAAAATAAAAGTTAGATAAGAGTAACCTAAACTTACATAAACTAAAATTTTGGTATGTTATCATGAAAGGTTGTACTGTACATTTACCTATGAATGAGAAGAGCATGCCCCTTTCTGATGGTGAATTGCAGAATATGAAGAGCCATGGTTATCAGAAGAAATAGAAAAAGGTGAGGTATGGTATCAGGAGTCCCAAGAGAACAAAATATGTTTGGTTGATGAAACAAAAAATATTTTGTTCATCTGTCATTGTTTTTTCTTCTTTCTCTGTATTTCTTTCCCATCACCACTCTTGCCTATACATTTTTACTTCCTAGTATTTTCATCAATGGTGTCTTTGCAGTTTCCCCCCAAATACCTGATCTGTGGTTGGTGTTTGTTTCTAGAATGAATGATTTGTTTCCTTGCCTCTAATATTTATTTTTCTTTAAGTCTTTGTTGGCTCGCCTATGATGTAACAAGCCCTGTGCTAACAGAACAATACAATAAGGCACAATCATCTGTGAACATCAGAACACAGCATGTGCTGTACTATGTGCACAACTAGGAATCACATAGTTCACATCCTCTTTTGGTTTTCACTCAAATACGTCCAATTCTCCTTCTCCAGTTTGCCTGATTAAAGTTTATTAGTGCTTCAAGTCTCAGCTAAAACATTATTTTCTCCAAGAGTATGTCCTCAAACCTCTAGAGCAGGTTAGATGTATTTGCTATTTGCTCCCACACAACCTTGTGTGTAACTGGTTTGTGGTATTAAGAGCTAAATTTCCAGTAACTAATACTATTGCCAGGTAACTGGTGCTTAATATAAATTTTTATTTTAATGGAATTCAAGGAGTATAAGCTAAAAAATAATAAAAGATATATTGTTTATCATAGTTTTATTATGTTTCAAAGAAAGTATCACATATGTTTTAGAACGAAGAACAAGCACATACCTAAAAATTTAGTTTATACATATGCATATAAACTAAAAAATAATACAGGTTATATTGTTTGTCATAGTTTTATTATGTTTCAAAGAAAGCATCACATATGTTTTAGAACTAAGAAGAGCAAGCATATACATAAAAAGGAGGTCAAGATCCTATAAAATATATTAAATCTTCCCTCTCTTCTCCTCAATTTTTGGTTCATTAGATAAGTAAACAAATTGCAGAAATTGTTAAGAAAAGAAAATATATTGAAATTCATTATGATAGATTTCCCTACTTTTTGTTTGAATGTGTAAATGAAAAGTATCCCAATAGCTGAGGCTTAAAAGTATGTGTAACGAAGGTGAGCAAAGTATGTATTGATTTTACTTAACAAGTTGGACAATTAGCATGTTTCTAAAATTTTAATTACTTGACTCTACCTAGCATTCTCCAGCCTGATGTTTTTGCAATTACTCTGAAAGTTCCCTAAACCTAACTTGCACGGAGCTCTGTGTTTAAACCCACGTACCCATCCCAGTCTTTCCTGGCCATTCAACACGTAACGGATTCAAATCTTTGCTAATTCATTCACAAGAATCAAAGGCCAGGCTGGAGAGCAGTGCCTTGAGCAGGAGACATGGCTTCTGTGTTAAGTGTTTATAATATTTATATTCTATTCAAGTCAAAATTTTGTGCTATTGAAAATATTATCTCAAGCTACTTCTAATTATTCTCCAACAACAGTGATGAGTGTTTACTATTTCGAATAGATTTTTTGTCTGTCCCTCCTACCATCAAATAATTCTTAAACTCTCTCTATAGGAATGTTTTTCTCTTTAGACCATGTTTCTAGTCAGAGTGAAGCAAAAAGTCCTTGTCATGTGTCCAACATGATTGCTAGCTATGAGAGGTAAATAGAATAAAATGCTAATCAAACTTTTAAAATCTTCTTCTGTTTCCTTGGGACAATTATTTAAAAAATAAACAATTAATATTTTAACAATATAGTTATTAATAATAACAATAACACAATGTGAGATTAAATCATTTTAATTTTTCTGCAGGTTAGATGAAAGATACATGGTGCTCATGTACAGCAACATCAGATATTATTTTTGGAGTCACAATGTTTTTAAAAAATGACAACTTTACTTTTAAACTTAAACATACCCCGATAGATAGATAGATAGACATGATAAGCAGTCTGAGAGTAAGAAAACAATTTCTAAATTTGAATGGATATTATACATATTATATTTATTTCCCAGAAATATAAACAAATATATGCTTATATGGATATTACTATAATTATATATATATATATAACTGTATGGATATAACCATAACATGTATTTCTATAACTATATGGATATAACCTATATAACTATATGGATATAACCATAATTATATGGATATAACTATAAAGAAAAAAGATTTGTTTTTCTTATGTGAATCATTAAAAAAATTAAATTGTTCTGTAATTACAATTTATCTATGCTTCAGTGCTCACAGTTTTTAAATTAAATATCGAATACTTAAGACAATTTGTACATAGGTTTCATGGTTTTCAACCACGTCTAATGAAAGTTTCAGTCTAAACAAAATAAAAACATTTGGGAGGGGATGAATGCTCATCTGCTATTAAAGTTTCCAGTACTTTGTCCTGGAGCTTCTTAAATTTTTACATTCGCCAAAAGGAGATTTTAGTAGTCAATCATCACTTGCAAATTAAATATTTTTTAAGTATTGTATTCCACTATTAGTATAAAGTGTTGTTAGTAAGCAAAACTATTCTTTTGATTTGTCAGAATCTTATTTAGACTTTTTCTAAAAAAGCCTTCTACTGAATATAGAATATTAAAGATTTGAAATAAAATGTTGACCCTGGCCGGGCGTGGTGGCTCATTCCTGTAATCCCAGCACTTTGGGAGGCCGAGGCGGGCGGGTCACCTGATATCAGGAGTTTGAGACCAGCCTGGCCAACATGGTGAAACCCTGTCTCTACTAAAAGTGCAAAAAATTAGCTGGGCATCGTGGCTGGCACCTGTAGTCCCAGCTATTTGGGAGGCTGAGGCAGGAGAATCACTTGAACCTGGGAGGCAGAGGTTGCAGTGAGCCAAGATCACGCCACTGCACTCTAGCCTGGGTGACAGAGCGAGGGTTCATCTAAAATAAATAAATAAATAAACAATTTTTTAAAAGTTGACCCTTGAAAATAAAATCAACATACAATTCAATGTTTTTCATTATTTCATGAGCTTATTCATTTTCTGATCTTTAAGATTCCTGATAGTAAAGACAATGTTTACTTCACACACGTATATATATATGTTTTAAACAGCAGTACACATTGTAACTCTTGTCATAAGTTGCTTCAAGTAAATGAAAGCCAATAAATAGAAAGTTGCAGATTAAAGAAAATAAAATACTGACAGTGTTGGCATGCTTATGATGTTCTGCTGAGATTTTTAAATAGAAAAGTATGTGAGAGGTCATTTACCTTATCGTACAAAATCAGGAACAAGCTAGTTGTAGCAGCAGTTCGAAACTTTTAAGGAAATGCTACTTGTGCATATCAGGTGTACAGCTGACATTATTTCTATTATCAGAGACTAAGCAAAACTCTGTGATTGCTGTTAATACTAAAATGTTAAAAAAAAAAAAAAGGTGAGGTCTTTGTTTCATAGTTGCTAGTGTTGGCAAAAATGAAATGTTACTTCCACAGCATAAAACTGACAGTTTCTTCACCTTCTAAAAGTGCAGACTATTATTAGCATTTTGTATATAAAACAAGTAAAATTTGAGAGTCTTTCGAAAAATGTATGTCTATAGATGGATAAGTATGTACATAATTGCAAATTGTATAAATTGCATAATAGGGAATACAGATTTTTTTCTAATTATTTCTAAATAAATCTTTAATTAATTTATTTATTTCTAAATAAATCTTTCTCATTTATTTCTATGTGACTGCCTTAAAAGTGAGTGAAAGATTTATACATATTTCCTTTATCCAACTTTTCCATTCCTCTTCCATGTTCTCATCTGAGATTATAATTCTTCCCTACCCTGAATGGCAGGTACCATATTGCGGAACAAAACATTTCAGGTGATTCTGGCCACTGTTCTAATGGAAAAGTAGAATAAATTCTTATTAATCCTACAATCAAATTATAAGTTTGAGTGCAACTTTGAGATGTTTGTAGGAATTGATTTGAACCAAGTCTTCAGAATCTTTCTAGTTTTATGCAAAGCTTACCTAAATTCTTCTGAGTCGTGAGAACTTTGGTATTACCCCTTACATACATCCTTTGTGACTAAGGTATTCATCCAGGAAAAAAAGTCCTTTCAAGTCCTAGTCATAGGAGGACAGTCGTTTTCTGAGGATTAAAATGGAAATGGAAACTTAAAAGGTTGGTATTTTCTTAGTGGATACCACATTTAAAAATATGTTTAACATAATAGTCCAATTTAAAGGAAAATGCTATCATTATAGACATAAGATAGTAGTCTTTTATTCTTAACTATATACTAATCTCCATGAATACAAAGCAAGGTATGTTCAACTACTAAACCTGAATATTGCAATATTTCCATATTAAGCTTTATTTTCTTTAGCTTTCTCATATACTAAAAGGACCCCATAAGGAGTTGAGAAATTTTTAGGATTATAACACACCCTCAGAAACAGTCTGAATACATATACTTTAGTAAATATATAGAATCACAAAATGCAACTACCTCTCAAAATTTATTTTAAATCTATAAATAAATCACCATTTCTATTACAGCCCACTGAAAAGACAAAGAAAAAAAGTTTAGTTTCTCTGCTGAATTTCCTTTCTCATTACAAGGTCAACAGATGTAGGTGGGAAGCTATTTTGGCTTTTCAGTTTCCTGATTGCTCTAGATAGATCAACTATTCACCTTCATGTTAGTGACTTCATTACATTCTGATATAGAAACTAATTTGAAAAAGGCTGACCTTTAAAATACTGAAGGTGACAAGAGGGTAAACGAAGGAGGTGAAGAAGATACAACTGAGCAGATCTCAAATCATATTTGTTTTAAAAGCTACCTTATGAGCTATTCACCTCTCACAATTTAGCTTTTTAATCCAAATTTTAACTTCAAAGTAGCCCCTGCTGACTCAAAAGTGTTATACCACGCAGTGGCCAGGTGGGGGAGAAGTGCAGCCTTATTCCTTTGAAGCTTGGCTGCCCAAGATCAATAGGAGTTCACAGGTGGCCATACTTCAAAGGGGAAGCACTATGTCTCTGTTTCGGTCCAGCCCCTGTAACAGTTATTTTCGCCCCCTCCAGTGGCTTGGAATTGGCTTTCATGTTATATTTTCACTTAAGAAAGTAAATGAAGAGCATTAGAGGCAGATCTTGATTAAAAGAATTTTAAAAGAAGCCAACATCTTGAGAGGACCAGCTACCTTTTAAAAGCACCTATTAATGCAATTGCTGGGTAGAAGGAAAGGTAAGCCTGCAGGGGAGATTTTTAAAAGCAACCCACTTACAGGGTTGCATCTGACATTTTAGCAACTAAGCTAAATCTCTTCAACAAGCTACAATGGTTGTAGGTAAATTTTATTCAACATTTTGTAGCTGGATATCTATTCTACAGTGTAGTTAGAATGAAAAACATGCCCACAGCTGCCAAGTTCAGGTGAAAAGAACTCACTTATATTACTTGAAAAATAGCAATGATTAAGTTACTCGTTAAACATATTTCTACACAATCAATGCACAAGAATGTAATTCCTGAGTACATTTCCATGTAATGTTTGCCGAAATATATTTTTATTAATTTTTATTTTATTTTATATACTATGTAATATATATTTTACATACTTTTTATAAACAAGAATATGAAATAATGGATAGTGTTTCTGTTATCACAGATAAATAAATCATACAAATCACAATCATTTTTGTAAATAAAAACCAGAGGAATTCCTATAATCAAGAAAAATGGTTCTGCATGTTAGCCACATATTGAAATCACCTGGCATATTTTTAAAACACTACCAGGACCCCATCTGGAGATTTTAATTTAATTGGTTTAGAATGGGCCTGGGCATAGGAATTTGAAAAGTTCCTCAGGTGATTTTCATGTGCACCAAGAGTCAGAAATGCTGACCAAGAGCACAGCTTCTCAAACTCTAATGTGTATATAACCACCTGGGGACCTTGTTAAACTGCAGTTCTAGTTCAGTAGGTCCAGGGTAAGGCCTGAGATTCTGCATTTCTAACAGGCTCCCAGGTGATGCTGAGCTGCTGGTCCCCAGAGCACTCATTGTGGAACAAGAATTTATGATTCTTAGCTCAGGAAAAGGACAGACATTGGGATCATTAAGGCGTTTGAGTTGAAACTACCTATAGTCTCCTAACCCCAATCTAAACAGATACCCAGTGCCCCAACTCCGAGTGCCAGTATATTTCACCTTTCAGAGGAAACTTGTTGCTGAAGGTCATTAAATCTGGTTTCTGGCACAATCACTAGAAGGCTGCAATGAGCCTTTAAAATATACAGTCACTAATATAAGTTGCAGACTGGTATATTTCATAGGAAGAACCTGCTTACAACAGGCATTTTTTAAAAAAAAAAGCAGCTCTGCATTGTTAAGCTTCTACCGTATGTATTGAGCTTGATGCCAGCAAGAATGCTAAGTGGGGCCTTTACTCTGATTGGACATATTCATGACATTTGTCCAAAGAAAAGATAAGCTGAGTGAAAGAACCAAAGGAAACACCTGGTTATCCACATTGGCGGAGATAGGCAGTTCTGCATGCACAGGAGGGATATTTTACCCTGAATTGGAGTGTACACATCCTGAGTGACCTCTGTGGGACCCAGGCTGCTAGCTGTGCAGGATGGTCTACCTTGCTATGAAAGTTTTAAGTTCCTGACACTGGGCTTCAAACACACCTTTGAATATATCTCCCTTTAGCAATAGATCTTTTAAATAAACCAAAGTATGTGTCAAGTACAAGCAAAAATTCTATACATTATCCTTCAAACCTTCTTGTGTTCTATGACAATGTGATGTTTTTAGAAAACTCTTGGATTTTTGAATATGAAAGACACAAAATTGAATGTGGGCTCTGATATAATTTAAGTATTTGGGCATAAACTTTCTAAGCCTCCTGGTTATCTCTTTATTGAAGATCTTTCTTACCTCTAGTATCTTGGCTACCTGGGAGCCTCAGTCTTGGGTTTTGAAATTGTAGCATTCCTAATTAATGAAGCCACTGTTTTTCAAAGCTCAAACAATGCACTGGGTTAACTGAGTCTAGGAAAGCTTTCAACACCCACCACAAATCATGACATCAACACGTAGACCCGTCCGTTGAATAAGTCAGTAGACTTATTTCCTTTGATTTAGGTACCTCTTCTTCCCTGCCATGTAGCCTTGCTTTGGGCAACTCTAATCCTCCCTGACCAGTCATCCTTACTCTGAGTCCTGGAGAAAAGATTTGGATTTTATTCCCTTCCGAGAAACCTGAAGAAATAGTATGCAAATTGACCCAACTGCTACCTAGATCTGAATGAGAAAAATTAAGAGAGCGACAGCTAACAAACACCAAGAAATATGTTTTATTGTATCTTGCCCCTTGGCAGCATCTTACTTATGGTTCCTTCATCACTTAACTACTTGCTCACCTGCGAAGTGCCAGACAACCTTCCAGAAACTGAGAATTTAGAAGTTAAAAAAAATAGACAATGCCCTTGTTCTTGAACTGCATATTCCCTAGATTAGGGTGAAAAATAACATAAGAATGACAACTATATTTTACTTTTATTTTCAGATAAGTTTACTTTTATTTTCAGAGATGCTCATAGCTATGGAGGGGTTATAAGAAGTAGCATGATCTAATTTGTCTTTAAAAAGATTATGTTTTTGGTTGCAACATGGAAAATAGACTACAATAAGGCCAGTCAGGAGACTATTGGAGGAATCTGAATGAAAGATGATGGCACATGGATATGTCAGAGGCATCATGGAAGACCTGCTCAAACAAAGTACATAATGAATGCTAACAGTTACTATCATAGTCCAAGGAAGAACTCTGTGGTCCCTCTGTGATGCTCTCGTCAGGCTGTGTTGGAGACCATGGCCACCACTGCTCCCTTGTGTCTGACTAGCTTGTTGAGGTTCTTACTTTCCCAAATAACAGGAAGCATTTTCCCAACTAAAACCAGATTTTTAGAATTAAAATATTATTTCTGGAAATGTGTTTTAGGCAATACATTACTCAATCTCATTATTTGATACTAACGGCAACTTTTTAAAGATTCTGATATTAACATAAATTAGGAAGTTTAAATACATAAAATCTTCATTTTCCCATTATTTGTCCTTAGATATAAAGTTAATGATATTTGTGAATAAAAGGGGTAATAGACAAATTACACTATCTCCTCAATTCTAAGATAATTTATTTTTTATTTTATTTTATTTCATTTTATTTTTGAGACAAGGCCTCAGTCTTTTCTCCCAGGCTGGAGTGCAGTGGCATGATCTTAGCTTACTATAGCCTCTGTCTCCCAGGTCAAGAAAGTCTCTCGCCTCAGCCTCCCAAGTAGCGGAAACTACAGGCACGTGCCACCATGCCTGACTAATTTTTTGTAGTTTTTGTAGAAACGGGTTTCTGCCATGTTGGTCAGGCTGGTCTCGAACTCCTGGACTCAAGTGATCCACCCACCTTGGCCTCCCAGGGGTCTGGGATTGCAGGCATGAGCCACCACACCCAGTCATAAAATCACATCTTAAAGTATTTGGAATTGGAAACCCTCTTAGAATTGATGTGCACAATTAATGGGATAGGGTTCTTTTTTTCTGAAAAATTATTATTAAATAAGCAGTGTACCCTTCGATTAATGCTTTTTTAGGATCGTGCAATAAAAATGTTTTAAAATAATACATAAATAAGAAAAAATCACTTATAATATCAAAACATAAATGACTAAACCCCGTCTCTACTAAAAATACAAAAAAAATTAGCCGGGCGTGATGGTGGGCGCCTGTAGTCCCAGCTACTCGGGAGGCTGAGGCAGGAGAATGGCGTGAACCCTGGAGGCGGAGCTTGCAGTGAGCCGAGATTGCGCCACTGCACTCCCGCCTGGGCCACAGAGCGAGACTCCGTCTCAAAAAAAAAAAAAAAAAAAAAAACATAAATGACTAGAAAATGAGACAGCTTTTTCAACAACAGTAAGGCATTATTGAAAATAATTTTTCATTTTGCAACATACAATGAATGTAGAACATAAAAGTTATGTATTATAGAAATTCACAATTTCAAAACATATTGCTATAATGAAAGTTCTCTAATACGGTGAAAAGGCTTATTTCTCATATAATATAGGGAGAAAAAATTCTGGTATTCAATTTAAACTATGACCCCAATAAAGGAATCACTAAGAGAGAATGTTGTCCCAATTTAGTAAGACAATAAAGAGAATGAGTGCCACAAAATATTGAAATAGTATGATTAATCTCTAAGAAAGAGATTTAGAGGTACTATACCCTCTCATTGCTCAGATTTCTTTTGTCCTATAACTCATGAATACATACTTTATCTAAACTGTTAGCATATTCTTTAAGGTAATCTTTAAGAGCTAAGAGGTAATCCTTAAGAGTTAACAGAATCAAGCAAATTAAAAAGTTTTTATTCTATAAAAAAAATAGTGTGGTATAATTAAGTTATAGAAGAAACATGAGTTATGGAAACCATGGTAGGGTTTCCAACAATGTCTAAATGGAAGAAGACTGCCAACACACAAATGATTATCATAACAATACTAAATACTTTTCGTAAAATTGTAAAGCATTATGTATTGCTCATTAAATATGTTTCTAAAGGTTTACTTGTGAAACATTGTTTTACCAACTCAAGATGGATTAAAGATTTAAATGTAAAACCCAAAACTATAAAAAAAACAAAAAAACCCTGAAAGACAACTTAGGCAATATCATCCTGGACATAGGAACAAGCAAATATTTCATGACAAGGACACCAAAAGCAATTGCAACAAAAGCAAAAATTGACAAATGGGATCTAATTAAACTTAACAGCTTCTGCACACCAAAAGAAGCTATCAAGAGAGTAAAGAGATAACCTACAGATGGGAGAAAATATTTGCAAACTCCCTCTGGTAAAGATCCAATATCCACCATCCATAAGAAACTTAAATTTACAAGAGAAAAACAACCTTAATAAAAAATGGTCAAAGGACATGAAGAGACACTTTTCAAAAGATAGACATATGGCCAACAAGAATATTGAAGAAAGCTCAACATCACTGATCATTAGAGAAATGCAAATTAAAACCATAAAGAGATACCATCTTACACCAGTTAGAATTACAGTTATTAAAAAGTCTAAAAATAACAAATTCTGGTGAGGTTGTGGAGAAAAGGGAATATTTATACACTGTTGGTGGGAGTGTAAATCAGTTCAACCATTGTGGAAAGCAGTGTGCAGATTCCTCAAAGAGCTAACAGCAGAATTACCATTTAACCTAGCAATCCAATTACTGGGTATTTACCCAGAGAAATATAAATCATTCTACCATAAAGACACATGTACGCAAATGTTCACTGCAGCACTATTCACAATAGCAAAGGCAAGGAATCAATTTAAATGCCTATCAATGACAGATTGGAAAGATAAAGAGAATGTGGTACATATACACCATGGAATACTATGCAGGCATAAAAAAGAAAAAGATGATGCCTTTGTAGGAACATGGATGTAGCTGGGGGCTATTATCCTTAGCAAACTAATGCAAGAACAGAAAACCAAATACCACATATTCTCACTTATAAGTGGGAGCTAAATGATGAGAACACATGGACACATAGAGGGGACCAACACAAACTGGGTTCTAGTTGAGTGGGGAGGGTGGGAGGACAGAGAGGAGCAGAAAAGATAGTTATTGGGTACTGGGCTTAATACCTGTGTGATGAAATAATATGTGCAACAAACCCCTGTGTTTACCTTTGTAACAAACCTTTATATGTACCCCAAAACTTAAAATAAAAGTTAAAAAAATTATACAACCAAAAAGTAGTAATTGCCTCCTTGACTTCCATTATAATATCAGATATATCGTTTTTTATATCACTTAATTATATTTGGTCACTTCTGTCACTTACTTTCTTTGCTCTCTAGTCTCAATCTTTTAAACAAGTATGTAAATACATAGAATACTTATCACCAATTCTTTTTAAGGCAAATAGGTACCGCTAGTTAAATTTATTGAGTAACTTCTAATATTTAAAAACACTTAAATTAGCTAGCAATATATATGATATCTGGAGGCAGAGAGCGCCTTCTAACAAAATGACTTAAATTGTATGTGGTAATAAAGAGCAGTTCTTGCTCCTCACATTCAATGTTTCAGCCATGCACAGGAATAATGAAAATTATTCCACTAGCTTCAGTGGTTGAAAAATAATGATACCTCTTTCTATCTATATGAAGCACTGAATAATATTCAGAAAGTTTGCTTCTATACTCATTCTTTCCACCTGAGAGACTTTGCACATTGTTGCTCTTCATTTCCCTTCTCAATCCTGCAGTATAATGTAAACAATCAATTCATTACATATATTTTGTATTGAGATTTTCATTCTTTACGTCCATAGTGTGTTTTGTAATCCACTGTAGGAAGCAAAAGTAAATGACCTTTCCTGCCATTATTTTTATTCCAGGTTTGAGTTATTTATTTGAGTTTTCCTAGAGATAACTAAGATAGATTCAAGAGGTGTAGACTAGAATGCTGATTCCTAAGATAATGGCCTTCCGGTTTTAACTCAGCCAGTAAAGCCTGTTTTCCCCTCCAAAACAGTGGGCTTCCTTAGAGAAAATAATTGGGCTCATTCCCTATACAGAACTAGGTAAGCACACAATGGAGAACCTTTTGGCATAGTGTATCCCTGTTAGTAGAGATGCCAACAGAAGCATTAAGGGGTCGAGTACAGAAAGAAAAAGATAATAAGTGAATAAATGAAGTGAGCAAAGTTACAAGCTATAGTGGAAACTGTAGGGGGGAAAAAGCCATTTATAGATAGAATAGAAAATTATATAGCTAAACACAGAATCTTTCTTAGAGTCTTCTTGATCTCACTCCACTCATCCAAGAATTAGAAAGGTATTCATCTTCAGATCATATCCCAAATGCAATTCTTTCCATTTCCTCCAAACCACCTGTGCATAAATCATTATTATCTCCTGTTGTCTAGCGGCCGTTCTTCCACCCTGACTTCCTGGAGAAGCCCCATCCAACACCATCCCCCAACAAATGATCTACACAGGAGCCAGTTGTCTTAAACTAACTGGATCTTCTCACTCTCCCTGCATTAAGCCTTTTCACAACTACCAGTGTTAGTTAGAATAAAATCTACCTTTTTTCCCAGTTTTGCAATCTCAGTGTTTATCTGTTCCCATATTCCTCTGTCTTCATCTCACACCCGTCTTCCCTCATTTCTTAAATTCCAGCAATAATGACCTTTCTTCTATTCCTAGAATATGAAAAGCTTGTTCCTGTCCCTAAGTCTTTTTCACTCTTCCTTCTCGAGATACTCTTCCCGTCATCATTTTTGCATTGGCCTGAAAGGCTTTTCCCTCAGCTTCTTCTTATCATTAGAGATCAGCTTAATCCTCACCTGAAAACTATACTGATCCCTTGACTTTAACTAGCCCTCTCTTTCAATCCAGCACATCACCCTATTCTGTTTTTTTGTGTAACAATCATCATGAAAATATATTTTCTTCTTTGCTTCCTGTATTTTGATTAACTTCAGCCTGCCTCCCTTGTTCCACTAACTAGATAGAAAGCTCCATGAGAGCAGGAACCTTGTCTGCCTTCTGCACCCTTTCTACGTCCAGTCCTAGAATAGTGTCTAACATATAAAAAATGCTCAATGACTATTTATTGAATAAATGAATAGTGTACTCCTACCTTATCTTTATCGCATTAAATTAGGTTTATTTGTGATTTGCCAGAATTTTCTTTAGCTATCTCCTTTGCAACTTCGTCTTTCTCCTCATTTCTGGATGGAAATGCTGGGTGGGCTCATAACATATTAATAATTTCTAATTTAACCATTTTTATTTATTTTAATGTATTGCAATTTTCACTTACTAGATATAGAAATATTAAATATATTATATGAACAAAAAAATCTTAAACTAATATATAACAAAAGTAATTTTTTTTTTGAGATGGAGTCTTGCTCCATTGCCCAGGCTGGAGTGCAATGGCACAATCTTGGCTCACTGCAACCTCCACCTCCCAGGTTCAAGTAATTCTCCTACTTCTGCCTCCCGAGTAGCTGGGATTACAGGCACGTGCCACCACACACAGCAAATTTTTGTATTTTTAGTAGAGGCAGGGTTTCACCATGTTGGCCAGGCTGGTCTCGAACTTCTGACCTCAGGTGATCCACCCACCTCAGCCTCCCAAAGTGCTGGGATTACAGGCATGAGCCACAGCTCCTGGCCATAACAAAAGTAATTCTAACCAAATTATATAAATATTTAGCCCATGTGCTTGGCAATTATGCTGATGTTTGCCAAATATCTTATCTTCTTTTTTCTTTGTTTTACCAATATAGCTTGTCATTGTCTTATACATCTTGGTATATATAATATCTATTGCATGAAACCTGAAACACTGAGTATTTTACTTGTTTGCATACTTACTGTTATAACTATACATTATCAAAAAAACTGTTTCCTTTTATTTGCTTTTCTTGGTAGACGTAGCAGAGAAATCCATTTTGAAATTCTTCCTATATGTTTTAAACACGATTTTGTAATTCTGGCAAGCTACAATTTCATCTCTTTTAGAGGACATAATTAGAGATGGACTGACATAAGTTTACTTGGTGTTCATTACCCAAATTCAGGAATGGCTCAGTTGCTTGGCTTATAGTATATACTCAATAAATATTTGTTGAGTTACTGTTGAAGATGTATTTTGTCCTTATTCTATGTTGAAATGTATCGATGTCCCTCCAAATGCCCATCAAATATTTATGTGCTACTCTCCATAGTTTTACTAAACATAGCTACAAACAATTCTTTAAAAGGGGGATTTTATATAATTTGAAAAAACCTGACACCTGAAAATTTCAAAAACACACAATATAAATAAGCGTGTCATTATACAGTGAATAGTTCTGAACAGAACTATAGAATTTTTGCTTGGAAAGTTACCTTAAAAATCATCTCATTTAACTATCTCATTACATATTTTGGCAACCAGAATCCCGAAAAGAAAAAGTAGATTGAAATAGATTTGGAAAATAGTAATAGAATAGTACCTAAAAACTAGGTTTCTTGGTGTTCATTCCCTAAATTCAGGAACTATTTGGTTGCTTGAAATATAGTGTATATTCAATAAATATTTGTTGAGTTACAGTTGAAGAGGTATTTTGTCTTTATTCTATGATAAAACAAATCACAAGCACATATATATGTAAAGAAATCCTTGAGTGTTTATAGCATTACATGGTTAACATATGCTTTCAAAAAATATTTCTGAGTGAAGCATGCCTAGATTCTAATCTTGATCTGCCAGTGTCACATCTTGAACATGCCAAGAATGTAATTTTGGATTGGGTTCCCAATAGTAACAGTTAACAAATTTTTTTTTTGATCATACATGTGTTTGAGGCTTGACTCAACTGACCAATGGTCCATTCCATGTAGCACAAGGGGAAGTATTATCCTTGGCTTTAGAGCTATAGTTACTCTCTGCACAACCTGGCACAGTTTGCATCTCTGCCTTTTTGAATCATGGTCAATGCTTTTGCTCATAAAGAACCACTCCATTTCCGGTTGCTCAATGCCAGATTGTTCCCGCTGCTATTGTCTCCCAGCAGGCCAAAGCTATGTAGCATCATTTAACACAGAGGGGTTTGTCGACATTGTCAGTCCTCCATATTTATGAAGCATTGCATTCGTGGAGATGAAATATAGCCAAATTCATGTCGTTTCCAGGCTGCCTTTTCCATAACTGTCATTTATTTGGCTTGAAATGGGTAATGCTTGCTTTCCAGGGAGCAAATCTAGCCTTCTTTCAGAATGACGTTTGGAAAGGGATTTACATTCTCACACTAAGCAGACTTCTTGTTCTAAGAGTAGCAAAAATCAGCAAGAATTACAAGAAAGAAAAAGAGGGGAAAAGATACTGAAAAATTCAGAAACGTTTTTGTATCTTTCAAAACTCAGTGGGATTGAAACCTTTAAACACTAGCAAATATGTATGACATTTTCTGTATTCAAGATCAATTTAAAAAATAATAATACCTGCTTTAGTGCATAAATATATTACCAATTCAGTTCTGCAAAATGTTATGACACTCAGATGCACATATGGTTTATACAACGTGGAATTCAAGAACAACCTGCATGTGATAGAGGGACTGTACAAAATTATAAGAAATACAATAAAAAGATGTAAATTGAGCAGCCTAAAAGAGGAGCATTAAAGGTATTAAAAATCTTTACCAATTAGTAATTCCTGACAGTACATTCTAAGTAAGTTAACTGTCACAGAGAAAATCTGTATCTTCAGATAAGATTCTAAGAATGTTAAATCATAATAAAACCCATGAACAGTTGTAGGGACAAAACACACAGTTGACAGCTTTCTGTTTTGGGCTGATCAGGAGTAAAAGTAACAAAAAGCTCACAACCATGACTTTATGAATCAAACCCGATTAACCATTGTTTCAAAATATTCCTTTTTAAATTTTTAATAAAAAAATGCCAGTAAGAAGGTGTCTTTGGGCTGGGCACGGTGGCTCACACCTGTAATCCCAGCACTTTGGGAGGCGAAGGCAGGTGGATCAAGAGGTCAAGAGATCGAGGCCACCCTGGACCACATGGTGAAACCCCATATACTAAAAACACAACAATTAGCTGGGCATGGTGGTGCATGCCTGTAGTCCTAGCTACTCGGGAGGTTGAGGCAGTAGAATCGCTTGAACCCGGGAGGCAGAGGTTGCAATGAGCTGAGATCACGCCACTGCACTCCAGCCTGGAGACAGAGCGAGACTCCATCTCAAAAAGAAGAAGATGTCATTGGCTATTAAGGATATGGTATTATTAATACTTAATGGACTTTTTCATTGACTTCATAAGAAAACATAGTATTGCAGTTTGTGTTTGAAGTACGCCATATCATTTAGGGAAAGAAAATAAAAAGTTGGTTTATGTCATTTTATAAAGAAAATTCCACCATTTCAAACAGCCTTTTAATCTAAATTAAGCTAGAATTAAACTATTTGAGGAGTGATTTGCTTGTTCCATAGATAATACTTGGGTACTATTTTATTGTTCTAGTGTAATTTTTCTTTGAGATATTCTACTTTTTATTCTACAACATCGAGGTTGCTTTGGTCAGGGGAAAAAGGCTAAAAACATACAGATGACGTACGATAATAAGAATGCAAACATTATAGGAACATTAATCATGTAAATAGTTCAGCAAATATCTGTACCCTCACAGCTCATTTGTTCTTTTTGCTGTGTTTTATATCACTGTATTATGATAAACTATGGTTTCACATCAATCATCTGCAATTGGATTATAGCTGTACTGCAATTTGCTTAATTGGTATCAAAGCAAAAATTATGCTGTACTGGACAGGTTGTTAACAAAATGTAACAAAGGGAGAAAAATGTCGTCTCTAGCAAATCTGAACATCACATTATAATGCTATTCCTATGAAGGCAAGTGGATTGGTTTTAAATGTCATGATGAATAATTAGGAACTGTGAGCATGATCTGTGATCATTCAGAAAGTATTCTGTAAAAATGCTATACACTTCTGGCTAGAAACCTTGAATTTTTAAATCACTTATTAAGAAAAAATACTAAAGAAAAGAGATAATATTGTACATCAAAAGTAGAAGTTAAGTTTTCCTGCCTTGGAAGCAAAAGGGCATTTTTTTTAAAAACTTAATCATTTAAAATGAATGTACTTACCCCAAGATGAACAAAAGCCACATTTTTCATAATCAAAATTCAAATTTCTATCCACTTTGAAATGTAATTTAAAAAGCTAGCAGCTGATTTGAACATGGCCATATTCTAGTTGGATTCTTGACCCCTTTTTACATCAAACAATTTCAAGAAGAATTATTAAAATGTGCTAATTGGGTGAGGATACAGACTTTCAAAGGTATATATTACACACACACACACACACACACAAATATACATATATTTATGCCTACATCTCTCTACTCATGTTCATTTAAACATAAAGCATAAAACCAGCTTTCTAAAATTTACTTGAAAATGGAATATCAGATCTGAAAATAAAATAATAGATGTCTCATATGTAAATATAATTATTTATAATAAGTGCTATCTAAGTATATTTTCAAAGCCTAATTTTAAAATAAAATATGCTCCTTCATCAGTGAGTAGTAGAGAAAGGAGATGTAGAAATCAGCTTAGGGACACCTGAAATCAACTTGTATTTTAAAATGGAAAAGGTAATTCATAAAATTGTATGTCTTACATAAAGCTAATATTATTGTGAGGTGCGTTATATACCTTATGACGTATTCTCAGAGGCATTTGAACCAGAGTGCGTCCATCTTGAATAGGAGCTGAGTAAAATAAGGCTAGACCTACTGAGCGGCATTCCCAGAGGGTTAGACATTCTAAGTCACAGGATGAGATAGGAGGCTGGCACAAGATGCAGGTCATAAAGTCCTTGCTAATAAAACAGATTGCAATAAAGAATCCAGCTAAAACCCACCAAAACCAATATGCCAAATAGAGTGACCTCGGATTGTTCTCACTTCTACACTCCCCGCAGCAATGTCAGGAAGTTACCCTGTATGACTTAAAAAGGGGAGGCATAAATAATGCACCCCTCGTTTAGCATATAAGCAAGAAATTACCCCCCCAAAATCGGCTACCAGCAGCCCTTGGGGCTGCTCTGCCTATGAAGTAGCCGTTCTTCTATTCCTTTGCTTTATTTTTTTAATTTTTAAATTTTATTTATTTATTTTTAGACAGAGTTTCGCTCTTTTACCCAGACTGGAGTGAAGTGGCACGATCTCTGCTCACTGCAACCTCTGCCTGCTGGGTTCAAGCAATTCTCTTGCCTTAGCCTCCCAAGTAACTGGGATTACAGGTGCCCACCACCTCGCCCAGGTAATTTTTGTATTTTTAGTAGAGATGGGGGGGGTCTCACCATGTTGGCAAGGCTGGTCTCGAACTCCTGACCTCAGGTGACCCACCCACCTCGGCCTCCCAAAGTGCTAGGATTACAGGCATGAGCCACTGCACTTTCTTAATAAACTTGCTTTGTACTGTAGACTCACCCTGAATTCTTTCTTGTGCGAGATCCAAGAACCCTCTCTTGGGGCCTGGAACTGGACTCCTGTCTGGTAACAATATGATTTTACATAAACATTCTGTTTAGCATATGCCTGCATTCAAGTAGACAAATACAAGTCTGTGGAAACAAATGTAAGCACCCCTGTTTCTTTGATGAGTAATAGCTGAGCTTACAGGGCTTTGTGCTATTTCATTTGACAAATTTAAAAAGAGCATCACTGATTCATTAAATATTATGGCCAAAAGAGAATTTTGAGATCTTTTACCTCAACCTTAACATGCTGTTCAAAATGTCAATCAAAATGTATTTAAATACATTATAGATGAAGTTTTTATCAAGCTGAAGCTTGTTAAAAGCTCCAAATTAAGCAGGTCTTATGATGATGTACATACACATCCAGGTACGTATTAGTCATTCTCAATCTCAGCTTCATATTAGAATCATCTGAGTTTTTTAAAATGCCCGTTCCTGAGCTCCTTACCCCCAGAGAGTTGATTTAATTTGCTCAGCTGAAGTCTCATCATCAGTATATTCTAAAACTTACCATCAGTGTATTTCTAAAGCATACACTAATTGTCAGACAGGGTTGAGGACCACTGACCCATATGGATCATATAAGTAGTCATTGTTAGAAGGAGATATCAAAATGCAAATGCAAAATGTCAAAAATGAGCAAAGTCTATTTCCAAGTTAAAATAAACTGTTAATACTGCAAACCTGATTCACACATGTAAATTTGTATAAACAGTTCTTTGCATGTTTATTAAATGAATCATTATACATACATAGTTTTAAATTTTAAATTAAGGCTATTTTACATTTCTATGACATTGAGGTTGTTAAAAACTACTTTACAAACATTAATTGTGCTTCACAATATTCTTATAAGCTACATATTATTATTTTTGTTTTACAAATGGGAAAACACAGGCATGAAGAGGCTAACCTAATTGCCCACAGTAATCCAACTAATAAATGTTAGAGGTGAGGAAACAAGGAAAGGTTTCTAGTTCTTAATTTTCTTATCTACTAAAGTTTTCCATAGAGGTGGAGAAGGGACAAACCCTGCAAAAATATTTTAAATTTTGTGCTTTATTTTTAGAAAGACACTCTGTCATAATCCATACACATTTATCATGTGGCTTCTATGCATAGAATACTGTGAAAGGAAAATAAATCTTTGGGTCCCCAAAATCACTAACCTAAAGGGAAAAGTCAGGCTGGGAACTGCTTGGGGCAAACCTGCCTCACATTCTATTCAAAGTCACCCCTCTGCTCACTGAAATAAATGCATATCTGGTTGCCTCATTTGGAGAGGCTAGTCAGAAACTCAAAAGAATGCGACCATTTGTCTCTTACCTACCTATGACCTGGAAGGCCCCTCCTCTCTTGGAGTTGTCCCACCTTCACCTCGGGTTGTCCCACCTTTCCAGTCTGAACCAATGTGCATCTTACACATATTGATTGATGTCTCATGTCTTCCTAAAATGTATAAAACCAAGCTGTGCCTCTAGCCACCTTGGGCACATGTCGACAGGACCTCCTGGGGCTGTGTCACAGGTGCGCAACCTCAAATTTAACAAAATAAACTTTCTAAATTAACTGAGACCTGTCTCAGATTTTCAGAGTTCACATTTTGGTAACCATGGAGGGTTTCTGAGTGAAGATGCCCTGACCCTTGATAAATCTCTTGTTGGTGCTTGGTACCAGCATGAGCTAACTTTATGGCCCAAACCAATAGGACACCTGGCTGAGGTCTGGGAGCACCCCCTCGAGAGAATCCCTGGTTTCCCAAAATTTGGTCAAGACCTGAAGTTTATTTTGCTTTATAATTCCTTTTTTTTCTTTTGGAGTTTTAGTTGCTTCCAACAAGGAAGGCAAAATTTCCTGTTTCCGTGATGATCAAAGGCAGGTAACCCCTTTATGGAGTTTGAGTTCACTCACAGCAAGAAAGATGAGTTTGTTTTTTTGTTTTGTTTCTGGTTGTTTTTTCCCTGCTTCTAGGATGGTAGAAAGCAGTCTTCAGCCTAAGACCCATTCCTAGGTAAGTAGCCTAATTGGGGTAGTATTAATTTATTCTTTTCATTAGGGTGCTCAGTGATCATATTATTGGGGTTTTGTTGTTGTTGCTGCTGCTGTTGTTTGTTCTAGTCTTTCCCCCATCAGATTTGACCAACTTTATCTGACTTGGTCAAATTGGAATGAGAATTCCAAATTATGGGTATCAAAGCCGCTCTAATTTGGCCAAAATTCCTTGCAGCTGCAAAAGAGGAAACAAAAACAAAAACATGCTGTTGGTTTCTGTCTTTGCTTTCTGTCTTAAAAACAAAACAAAACAAAAGTTCTTTCATTTACTTTTCTTCCACCCTATACCTTCTTCCCCCTTTGCCATCTGTAGTACCAAAAAATCTAGAGAAGGCTTCTAGTGATTTGAACCCCTTTAAAGAGTTCAGAACAAAGATGCTACTCACCACTTTTGGGGTGTTCTGTTTACTGTGTGGATTTTCAAGAGTCATAGGCAGGTTCTTCTTAGGTCTAAAGTTCGGTTTTCCTGTATTGCATGACCTGAACTCTTTGATTTTGAGACTACCAGAGATTACATTGTTCTGTGAGAGGATTTGACCTTGGCACGTGTAATGGTGCATGACAGCTGCAAAGTAGGAGTGGCAGAGCACAGTTTACAGGAAGTGGTCTTGGCTGTTGTTATTGTTGTTGTTTTTCTCCTACGCAATTGTTGTTTAAGGATCCGAATTCTAGTTCGGAGATGCATTCTAAGGGGTTTTCTCCCCTTACTTTTTCTCCCCAAATTAATCTCCATTCAGCTTGTCTGTGCACATTTGCATGAGGAACTGAACTGTTGCTTTCATAGGTAAATGAAAGACTGAGTTTTTTCAGCTCTGAAGACAAAAGGCATTTGCTTCTCCCAGATGAAAGGTGACCTCCAGTGACATGCAGCAGCCCTACAAGGAAATCCCCAACAAAAATTAGTTTTAAACAAAGAGTCATTCAGGAAACACATATATGGGCTAATCACCTGGCATGTTGAGCCCTCTCAGAATTCATTGACGTCTGGAAAGAGAAACTGAGTCAAGTAAGAGGGTGTAAATGACTCAACGGCAGCACACTGTGGAGTCCTGCACACAAGCAGCACAGGTCAATCTACTACACAAAATTCCTAGGCCACAGCTCAGTTCCTCATTTTAAGAAAAAAAAAGTGGAAAACAAATAATCTAAGAATAAGGAGAAAACAAGGAAAATTACCCCCATTCAAGCACTGCATAGGTTTTATGGCACTTCTACTTGCCAGGGTTTATGTAAAATGGAAGTAATATGGTCTTTGTGCATATTTACATTAAGGAAAAAGCCCTAAGGTCAACCTGCAAACTGTAGAGTTCCTAAGTCCTCTTTTTCTCTATTTTTTTTCTTTTCTACCTGCTTTAACTCTGCTATTTTTCTATTAAAATAAAAACCACTTTTTAAACCCAACAGGTTCTTTTTGCAACCTGGCAAATTTGTATTTATCTCATGGCTAAGGTTCTGAAGTAAAAGCTATAGGATCTTATAGGATCCTATAGGATCTTACAGGATTTTATAGGTGTATGTATACACTTAAAAGGCCTTTATAAGTTACATAATTTTATGTTCTAGCACACGAGGCTTTTTCTCTCCATATCTTATAATGTATCTACAAAATGTACTTCTACCAGTATACCTAATATGTCTACGTGTTTATATGTTATGGATACAATGTTTCACTACTGAAAATTCATAAAAGAGCTCTAATTAATTGGCTTAAGAACATAAAAGTGCTTAAATCAAATACTTTATCAGAAAAAAAAGAACTAGTCAAATACTTTTTCAAGTTTATGTAACAAGTAAAATCTTTAATAAATAAATTAGCTTTAAAATTATTGGTAAAGTATATTAGAAATCTCGTAAGAACTGTCAGCATACTTTTTTGTTTGCATTTGTTTATGTATTTATTTGTATTCATTTATTTTTTTATTTTTTGAGAGAGTGTCTCACTCTGTCACCCAGGCTGGAGTGCAGTGGCTCAATCTCGGATCACTGCAAGCTCCACCTCTCGGGTTCACGCCATTCTCCTGCCTCAGCCTCCTGAGTAGCTGGGACGACAGGCACCTGCCACCACACTGGCTATTTTTTTTATTTTTTTATTTTTAGTAGAGACAGGGTTTCACCATATTAGCTAGGATGGTCTCGATCTCCTGACCTTGTGATCCGCCTGCCTCGGCCTCCCAAAGTGTTGAGATTACAGGCATGAGGCACCATGCCCGGCCTTGTTTGCATTTATCAATCAAGCAATTTTACACTTATCCCTGCCAAATACTATATGACGTCAAAATTTGGCATAGGGGTTACAAAACTATAAACCTGGCCCCAAACAGAATGATCTTTGTCTGTATAATTTTTAATAAAGAAAACATTGACATTGGTTTAATAAAAATACCTATGTCTTGAATTTAGTAAGACTATCATAACTTCTAATCTTGTGGATTTAGGTGGTCTAGTCCACAGGAAGTAAGGTTTGTTTTAGAAAGGGACTGTTACTGACTGTGTTTCAGAGCTAAACTGTAAACTAAGTTCCTCCCAAAGTTAGTTCAGCCTACACTCAGGAATGAACAAAGACAGCTTGGAGGTTAGAAGCAAGATGGAGTCAGTTAGGACAGATCATTTTCACTGTCTCAGTTATACTTTTGCAATGGTGGCTCCATAACTTAAAATGATGACTATTGCAGTTTTCATAAAAAATCTAAATGATTAAAATAAAATACTTAGGTAAATGTAATGGGATAAATACATGTAGACAAACTCATCATAATTTAGAATCTACAGTTATAATGAATTAAATAATAAATACTTTATTATTTGGATATTTCCAATAAAAATATATTTGTAGGAAAACATTCGAAAACATTCTTTACAAAAAAAAGTGTTCCTTTTAAAAAGGCAAATAATTTTTGTCTGATTCAAAATTTATTTAAAGGTTATTTACGAAACAAGGTCAAAGGAACCAGGAAATAAGAGAGATGTAAAGAAAGATTTTTTTTGTAAGAAAGCCTAAAGAGATATAATTTTATATGAGAAAGAATCTAGGATGGTAGTTTTAGTCCTAGAATAAATGACTGGGGATGGGCACAGTAGCTCACATCTATAATCCCAGCATTTTGGGAGGCCAAGGCAGGCAGATCATGAGGTCGAGAGATCAAGACAATCCTGGCCAACATGGTGAAACCCCGTCTTTACTAAAAATACAAAAATTCACTGGGCTTGGTGGTATGCGCCTGTAGTCCCAGCTACTCGGGAGGCTGAGGCAGGAGAATCACTTGAGCCTGGGAGGTGAAGGTTGAAGTGAGCAGAGATCACACCACTGCACTCCAGCCTGGCAACAGAGCGAGACTCCATCTAAAAAAATAAATAAATAAATAAATAAATAAATAAATAAATAAATAGATAAATAAATAAATAAATAAATAATAAAATAACATAAATGACTGGTTGTTTAAGAAAGAAGGATGCCCTCTGTTAATTCATTTTCAGTTCAGGTGAGTTTTTTCCTCGAGTTCTGTTTGTTGTGGCCTAATGCTAACAATGTGTTTTCTTGAAGGTCTAAGGGAAATGTTTTCTTCCAGCATAATTCTGTGCAGTGCAGAAGATCTTTTCTTTTGTCTTTTGGTAACTGACCTAACATATTTTACATTTTATCAAAACAATGCCTATACTATTATTGTTAAATTTTGGATTGCTTAGGAAAAAATTGAGATAAAATAATTATAAATTAAGGTTGTTATACCAACGTATCTTTCTGTAGGTGCTTTTAAAGTACTTGTTACATTATGTTACAGGGCTTTGACTCCTGGGTCTATAAAGGACACCAAGTCCTGCTAAATCTTAAACACTGACAGCAATTAAAGCCTCATATTCAGGCCCAGTAGAAGATGCCAATCAAAATAAACTGTATTTCTGAGACACAGAGCCAGAAGTTAAAGCTATTCAACTCCTCAAACCCAGGACTATTGCAGAAGAGGTAGGTGTGTGAGATTGTAAGAGCCAATTTTGAGAGATAAGTAAGTAAAATTTCTCTAAAAATTAATCATTAATGTCAAGGGCACACTGATAAAAGACCAGCACATGGGCCCCTATGTCAGGTTAACAAAGTTTTGTCAAAACATTAGCCAAGTCCTTAATAAAGATGATTAAGGTTATAAAAGGCTTATGGAAGTCATATCTCATGGTCAAGATTAAAATTTTATGGATTGTTTATATAATTTTGAAAAACTAATTGAATTGAATTAATGTTGTTTTTATAAGGCATTATTGTTTGGAAAATTATGTCTCCTTGCCCAAAGAATGAAGGTTTTCACCTTTTTGTGAAATCCCTGAGTTATCACTTTGGTCAAATGAATAACACATTTTAGAATGACCTATAATATCAAGTGTTTCAAACCTTTAATATTTAACAAACTTTCCAAAATCAAATTATAAGTTATGTCTTTTTCTAACCTAATGAATCCTTTAAGATATTAGGTTCCCTAAATTCCAAAAATGACATAATTTGGCTTATTTGATATAAAAATTATACAGGAAACATTGTCAAATATGAAATGGGGTTTAGGTTTTTTTGGCTGTATTTGTATAAATGTTATTTATATGTGTCCCAAAATTTTGGGAAACTCCTATAATTCTAATATAACTTAGTGTATATTATCATTAATAATTATAATTTTTTTTGATACAGAGTCTCACTCTGTCACCTAGGCTGGAGTGCAGTGGCGTGATCTGGCTCACTGCAACCTCCACCTCCCGGGTTCAAGTGATTCTCCTGCCTCAGCCTCCCGAGTAGCTAGGATTACAGGCGCTCACCACCATGACCAGATAATTTTGTATTTTTAGTAGAGATAGGGTTTCACCATCTTAGCCAGGCTGGTCTCAAACTCCCAACCTCAGGTGATCTGCTTGTCTCAGCCTCCAAAGTGCTGGGATTACAGGCATGAGCCACCATGTCTGGCCAATAATAATAATTTTATGTTAAATTATTGTGTGCCACAGAGGTAACAAATTTCCTTGTCAATTGTGTCCTTGACTATGGCTGCCCTGAAACTTTTTGTCATCCATGGACAATTGTTGTCTTGTTTTGGTCCTCTTTAGAAGATGGTTTTGTAATCAGCTTTTCAACTCTAACAGGTTCTCCTGAATACAAGTTTCTGATAACTTTGGAGATTGTGACATCAGACTAGAATAAAAACTTTTAGGACTCATGGAGAACTGAAATGTTCATGAATGTCAAACAGAACAGGAATAAACTACATGGACTATACCAATAGAAGACTGAAGCAATCTTTTTACTTTTTGCTTAAAATGTTGCTAATCCTTTGTTTTGTTTTTTTCAGAGTCAAGGAAACTTTTCTTTTGAGCTATCGATAGCTTTCAACAATTTAGTATACTCCTATGAATGAAATTTAGAACATACTTGTTTCTCTCTATCTGATTTCTCCAGAATTTGGAAACTATTTGTGAGTATTCGTAACTTATGGCAGTACAGTTATTTGCATAAGTGCAATAAGAATCTGTTTTCATTTATAACAGGACACAATTGGAGTAACTGGTTATTTTACCAAGGCTTTGACTGGAATGTTGTGCTTTCCTTTAAAGAATCAAACTTGGCTTATGGAGCCAATAAAAGCCCCTCGGGAAAACTGGCCTCATACCTTGTCTACACAGTCCCTGTACAGGGTTCCTGATCTGTAGTAAGTAAAGAATGTCACTTTCTAACAGGCCCAGTAAGCTCCAGTTTATCTTGGAGCCTCAAGAGGAGAGGAAATGCACCCAACTCATAGGTATTTGATGGTACAAATCCATGGCTGGGCTCAGCTTTAAAAAAGTCTTATCTGAGATTCCTTGTATGGAACAAAGTTCCATCAAAGCCAATTTAAAAGCCTATTTAAAGAAAAAAATAATTATTATTGCTGCACTGTATACAAATAATCAAGCTAAGTATAATAAAGCAAATCAGCCCTACCATGATTTGTCTTTAGTAAAAATGAGAAACTGGAGAGAGATAAAATTATGTTTCAAAAATTATAGTGCACCTGTTGATAGAGTCTAGTCTTGCCTATTGTTTTTCAATTTTTATTGTTTTCTACAGTTTGGACTGAATTATAATTTTTCTTGGCTACAAGTCTTCAAAACAATGTTTTCAGTTTTTTTCCTTCCTTTTTCCCCCATTTTTGCTAACTTGGAGTCACCAAACACTAAGCTGTGCTTCCATAAAGCCCTGGGAGCTGAAGCTAGACAACTTAAACTTCAGAAGAAAGTAACAGCAACCTATTTACATACATAAGCCACTTTCATACCTGCCTACTAATGTATGGACTTCAGAATAATGTGGCCTATATCAATTTTCCAGGATTATTCTTCTGTTTGTTGTTGTTTCTCTCCCTTCTTCCCCCTATTTTCTCTTCATAGGACATGAGACTTCACAACCTGGTAAAAATGAACTTTCCTAATAACTCAGGACCTACCCGCCTGGGAATTGATCATCCTAGCCATGAGAGATCAGACAAAACCTGAGACCAGAGACTCATTTTCACCTAAAACACTTGCTCCAAAAGATTTTTTTAAGTGGGGAAATGTGGAAGGAGAATATAACTTTGGGGCCCCAAAATTACTAAGTCAAAGGGAAAAGTCAAGCCGGGAACTTCTTAGGTAAAACCTGCCTCCCATTGTATTCAAAGTCACCCCTCTGCTCACTGAGATAAATACATTTATCTGATTCCCTCATTTGGAGAGGCTAATCAGAAACTCAAAAAAATGCAGCCATTTGTCTCTTATCTACCTACAACCTGGAAGCCCCCTCATTGCTTAGAGTTGCCCCACCTTTGCCTCAAACTGTCTCACCTTTTCAGAATGAACAAATGTACATCTTACACATATTGATTGATGTCTTATGTCTCCCTGACATTTATAAAACCAAGCTGTGCCCCTACCACCTTGGACACTTGTCCTCAGGACCTCCTGAGGCTGTGGCATGGGCATGCATCCTCACCTTGGCAAAATAAACTTTCTAAACCAACTGAGACCTATCTCAGATTTTAGGGGATCACAATACCAAGCCAGGCACATATTACATGGAACAATCCAGGACCAAGAACCTTCGTTCTAAATATAGAGCTAAGAAATTTTGTCTGAGGTGAGCACATTCAAAGCATAGAACCATACAAATATCACATGTGCTAAAAGCTGAATGTGTGATAAAGAAAGAAAAGAATGAGAATTCAGAGGTGATTTTTGGAAAAGTTTAAAATCAAATTGGTGTAAAGACAAAAAAATTGAGGCAGAAATATGTATAATATGTTTGGAAACAATTGTTTTATTCCTTTCTATCTCAGTATCCATGGAGGAGAGTGTGGATGATGAAGTTTGGAAATGTGGTAAAGATGAAAAGACTGAGTAGCAGTCTTAGAACTTCGGATAGCACTCCGTGGGAAAAAGGGAAAACCACTGATAAATTTTAAGTAAAGTGGTTTCAAAGGCAAAGTACTACACAGAAATATTAATCTAAAACATAATTTGCAGGATAGATTCAAATGGGAAAAGCAAGAGGCAAGGAGACCAATTAGGACATGAATTGTTCAGTGAGATGGAGAAGAACACAGTCAATTACAGCAAATGTGGGAATAGAAAGAAACATGGGAATTAGCAAGACCTCTGAAAGAAACATTAAAAGACTTCATAAATAACTGAATGAAGAAGGCTTTGGAAAATAACTTAAAGGTGACATACACCTGTCAGCATAAGAATGCTCTTTATATCTAGCTAAGTCTTGAATGAATTTTGTGATGTAAACCTCCCTGTAACATGTGGTAATAGCCTCAATAGCAGCCCCTTTCCTATTACAATGGCCCTAATTACTAGAAAGCTTATTCTGTTAGGCAAAAATTTCACCCTAATGTAACTTTTATCCATTGGTTCTAGGGTTGTTCTTATATCACTCTAACTCATAGACTGGCAATATTTTTCCCCAATAGAGCCAGATAGTAAATATTGTAGGTTATGCCGGTCATATGGTCACTGTCACAATTACTCAACTCTGCTGGTATTGCATAAAAGCAGCCATACACCATATAGAAGATGAATGGATGTGACTGTATTCCAATAAAACTTTGTTTACAAAATCAGATGGCAGGCTAGTTTTGGCCCAAGGGCTACAGTTTGCTGACCCCTACTCTAGTTAATTATGATGTTTAATATATTTTAATTGAAGACACACTTACCCCTCAAACTTCCTATGAAATATTCTCTACTCCAGCCTATATATGGCCAAGTCCTTCGACTATTCCTGGTGATATAATTTTGAATCATACCTTCATACTTTTCAGCAATGTGTTTATATATTTTTATACGGTGGCACTCACTTTAATAAACCTCTTTTGGAATGGTCAGATAAGCAGAATACGGTTGTTGGCCCCATTTTTGTGAACACTATAGTCTACTAACACATTTCAAGACTCAGTTAATAGCCACACTACCCTTTTGACTCATGCATCTGACTAAGATCCCTCTCTGCACTTTGAGGAGGTGGGCTGCTATGAAAGGTGCCACCTCTGCTCTCTGGGACTCTCATTTTTGCAAATTTTGCTCTGTGGGAACAAGGTGAGTAAAGGTTACCATGTGCTTGGAGCTCTAATAAAGCAGATGAACTGCTCAGTGCCTAATGGATTGGCTCTTTACCCCCAAAAGCCCAGTTCTTATTCTGTTTCAGATCCTTGATGTTTCCTAGTTCTGCTAATTTCCTCATTGTCCTGTGAGCTGGAAAGGTGCTATGAAGAAGCAGTCAGTGCAACCAGAGCTCAGATTAATCCACATTGGGCTGTGTTTAAACTGGTCTAAGGTAAAGGAGAAATTTTTTGAGACAGGAGGAGTGCCATTCCCATCCCCTGGAAATGATGAACTCCCTGGAGATTTAGCTCAACGATGTCTGCTATTGTATATTCAGTCTTTGGTTAAAGAGTGGGACTGATAACTACCAATGATCCTTTGTTATATATGCTTTTTTTTAACTTTGTGCCTTAGTAAAGACCCTCTGAAGAATTGGTGCTGCTACTAAAATCAGCCACTCTTTACCAAATCACCCTTCATAATTGTATCCATTGCATTTATCACCAGGTGAACTACCTTATTTGTTCGTTTATTAAGGTACATTCTTTCTCTCTCTGCAATGTTCCTGAAACTGTGTTTGAAGCTAGAAGATCAGTGGTAAATAAAACCTAGACTTTGCCCTCCAGGATCTAACCTTTTACTGGAGAAGCAAGAGAAACATGAATACAATTATAATATATAATTATTACTAAGGCTCTTGGTATTAATGTAATGTCCCTGTGCTTTTTGGCATGAACTACTATATAATAACTCCTCTATATTTACTAATAAATTGAACTATGTCTATCCCAATTGTCAGTTGCTAGGTTACAAGCATCCTAAAACTTGACTTAAAAACCTCTTTATTTTGCTCCTGAACCTGTAATTTGGGTGAGGCTCTGCCTCTGCTCCTTTTGGTAGCAACTGTGAGAGCTGGAAGGCTGGAATCAAATGAAGGTCTATTCACTCGCATCTAGGGATTGATGCTGACTATTGACAGGGATCTTGGCTGGAGCTGTTGGCAGGAATGCCTAAATGTGGCTTCTCCATGTGATCTCATCCTACCTCACGACTAATTTCAAAGCAGAATATCCCAAGACAGATCTTGGCAGAAACAGTGGGGCCTTTTTTTAACCTAACCCTATGGTCATGCAGTGAACTGTGCTACCTTCTATTCATTAGGAGAAAGTCACTAAGGTCAGTTCATATTCCAGGGGAGAGGAAATACTTTGTCATTTTTATAGGAAGAGTGTGCACATGATTAAAATCACCATAGTACTTCCTCTATGTACCTCAAATTACTTGCATTACTTACATTACTTCAACATAAAGAATATCGTGTCCCCTCAAAAGGCCTCTCAAAAGTCTTTAGAGCATGGGACTCAAGCTTGAGGAACAAGATTTTATCGCCTGTATCGGGTCCAGGTTTGGATGAGATTCCTTGGATGCAGTTACTTGAATACAGTACCTCAAGTAGTTTCTCTTAATCTGAAAACTTATGAACTACATACAAAAGTTATCCAACCCCCTCATATACCCAACATACAATGGTAGGACAGGCATAGGATAACCACTATAGACATGCCCACTCAAAGAAATAAAAGAGCAGAAGGCATACAGTAGTCACTGGTCCATAGCAATACTGAATTCCAGCAAGACACATTGCCATTTCTAATTTCTGGGGACAGTTATCAAAAATTCTTCATACTGCTCTCTAGGCTCTGGGCTCCATCCCTTGAGTCATGCTTCCTTTTATGTAAAATACGGCCAGTGCTTCCACCTGAGTACTTTTCTTAGTCCTTTTATTGCCCATAATATTTCAAGAGTTCAAGGGACTCATTTTACTTTTTAACATCTCTGTCCCTTTTAGTTCAAGCTGATGCACTTTTCTTTTTTTTGAGACAGAGTCTCACTCTGTCACCAGGCTGGATTGCAGTGGCGTGATCTCGGCTCACTGCAACCTCCGCCTCCCAGGTTCAAGCAATTCCCCTGCCTCAGCCTCGCAATTAGCTGGGACTACAGTTATGCACCACCACGCCCAGCTAATTTTTTTTCTATTTTAGTAGAGACGGGGTTTCATCATGTTGACCAGGATGGTCTCAATCTCCTGACATCGTGATCCACCCGCCTCAGCCTCCCAAAGTGCTGAGATGACAGGCATAAGCCACCACGCCCAGCTGCCGATACAATTTTTTAAATAAAAATTATTAGACAAAAGCTACCTCTTCGAAAAATCTCAAGATAAGTCTTGTTTCACTTAGGTTTCCTGCAGTAGTGCTGTGGGGACAATGCTCTCCAGATTCTTGGAAGACCTTTTGTCTGTTTGAAAGGGTCTACAAGGCACCCCCTTAAATCTTTCAGGGGTCCTAACAAGGAGTTTTACAGTTAGATCCTTGGTTTTATATCTAGACAAGGGGTCCCCAATCCCAGGGCCTCAGACCAGTAGTGATCCATGGCCTGTTATAAAGGGGGCTGCACAGCAGGAGGTGAGCGGTGAGTGAGAGAGCATTACAGCATGAGCTCTGCCTCCCATCAGATCAGCAGCTGCATTAGATTCTCATAGCAGCGCAAACCCTATTGTGAACTGTCTTCACATGCAAGGTTGTGCGCTCCTTATGAGATGAAGCAGTTTCATCCCGACACCATCCTCTCCCACTTTGCCCCCGTCCATGGTGCCAAAAAGATTGGGGATCACTGATCTAGATCATGTTTTTCTGAGAGTTCCCTCGATTTTATCTTTGCCTGGAAGCAGTTTCTTACTTATGGTATCTTTGCAATTTATAGAGTCTAGAAATAAGAAACCACTTTATTTTTTAGCCCAACAAGCTCAGGCCCCTTTTTACTTAACAGCTCTTTCTTTAGCTTCTTTCTCTCCTCTCACATTTTACTATTAAGCAACTAGAAGAAACTGGTCAGCACTTTACACACTCTGCCTGGAAGTCTCAGTTAGATCATCCAATTCCTTAGGTACATTTTCTGTTTTTCACCTTTTGATGGGAGGAGTTACAAAGAAGTTGAAGACATCCACTAAAACAGCCACAGTATCCAAGTGCAAAGATAAACATGGTCTCACTGAGCCAGCAATCTCAAAACACATTCTATCTCCAACTGTATCATTAAGTAGCAATATCACCATATGTAGGTTAAAATTTAAAAAAATGTTTTTTAATAATTGAAGGCATATGTGATTATTTTCATTAAAATCCAGCCCAAACTATCAGGCAAATAATTTTAATAAATAAAAAAAGAGAATGAGTATTAGTCTCACATATTCGTTCATATTGAAGCAATGATGATGTCTGTTAATGTTTCTATTTTACTAAATATTCCCAAACATCCGGTAATCTCCTTTTCTGAGTATGCCAGAAATTAACACAAAACTCTCCTTTTTAAAATAATTCTGAGCAATTGCCCATTTATAGCTTCTCAATAACCTTTCAGGGTTCCAGTATCTCTCAGAGGGTAGAGATTACAGCTTGATATACTTAGTATAAGCTTCTCAGCATCTAAGATGGAACATTTTACTTATAGTCAGACTAAAGTTATAAAAAATAGCTAAAACTTCAATTACTGTCTCCTTATCAATCCTGATCTTCAATTATATTCCAGGGAAATGAAATTATATTATTTTAGCGTTAGAAAGAACTACTGTGGTCATCTAGCCCAGGAATATACCGATATCAAAGACACATGAGGTAGAAAGTGGGCTATGATAAAATTAGGAAGATCTATGAAAGTGAAGAAGGGATTTAGACATTATTCTTTAGGCAATGGAAAATCAATGGAGCATAGAATTATAAGAATGGCAAAATATTGTATTTATGAAATATTTAAAAGGGTTCAGTAAAATTTGAAAGTCAGCTTTGTTTATATAATTTAAGATATTGTCAAGGACAAGCCTATGGTAAAAGCACCAGCATAATTAGTTAATAAACAGTGTAAGAAATTGTATTTTTGGTGAAACTCCTTAGGGATTCTTTATGCCATGTATTGTGCATAATACACATTTCTTACTAGGAGAAAAGTCCCCAACTATACCAAAGAGATGAAATACTTTGAAACATGTTTTCAGAATCTGCCAAAAGATAGGGAATTTTGCTAGAATACATATTAAATTTAATCTAATAATCATTCTTGATTGGGAACACTGACCCAGTGACACTGAAGCTGTTAGATTAGTGAAACCAAGCTATGAGATGCACAAGGAGACCAAACAACAGAAGATCCTCCTATGGAGTGCAGGGTCTTTGAAAGGAAATGAAATTCATCTTGAATTTATGGTAACACTCTAGAGTTTTAGAATATGATCTGTTGCTTGACATTGTTAGCGAAGGCTCACAAGAAAAGAGATGTAACTGATTATTTTACTTTAAAAATAATTAAAATTTATTGAGTTTTTTCTAAATTGAGACAAAATATGTGTAAAATAGACAACAAAAGTGGCAATCCAAAAATATACAGAATTTAGGACCAGAAAATAAAAACATTTGTGTGACTGTGAGAAAAAAGATTCACATACAAGTAAGTCCACAATTAATTTTCATAGGACTATTTTGTAGTCATTACTGATAGTGTAATTTGACTGAAGAGATATTTGAACTCAATGAGGCATTATATCAACCCAATAAGCCACTAATTTTTGTTTTCTTTGTAACATTCAAGCATTAGAACACTGAAAAAAGAAGAGATTAAGAAATAATATATGGAACTAGATACTATATTAAGAAGTGGTAAATATCTTGCTATACTTGACAACCATGTATATTTTATAATATGTTCTGTATTATGATATGTAAAATTCATGATTTCATATCTTAATTCCAGTTGCTACAACATCAGCTGATAGAAAGCTAGTATAGTTTGATGTCACTAATAATAAAATATAAATTATATTTAAAATGATGACACATAATTATCACTGTTGTCAAAAATAATTTTAACTGAATAAATATATATTAATTTATTAAGTACATATATCTTTGTTACACTATTAATTAAAAAGTTGTTAGGCCTTCAAAAGAGTACCCAAAAATGTGCAATAATAATGAAATTCAGTGACTTGAGTTATTTTTCCAACTTTCAGTCACCTTTGATATCTCTGATAACTTTTACTAATGTAAAAACTATGGCTTTATATATATAACTTTATAACATAACTTTTATATTTTGTCATTATGAAGGCATATTTGTCAAGGTAGTAGGGGAGAACGTATTCTATTTAGCAGTGTCTTAGTTTAACTTATGCACACAGTATGCAAACCTCCATCATCCCCTTTGGCTCTGCAAATTTTCTAGGCAGAACGCTTTCATCTCTCCAGTCTGGACTCATCTTTGCAACTCCAGACCCTAGCTTCCTACTTGACATCTGTACTTAAAAGTCTCACATATACCTCAAACTTAACATATCTGAAAGAACTCTTTGTTTTCTCCCCAATTTGTTGCTACTCACTTCATTTACAGTCATGCGATGTATAAGAATGTTTCAGTCAACCATGGGCCACGTGTAAGACAGTGATCCGTAAGATAATAATATAGCTGAAAAATTTCCTATTGCCTAGTGACATCATAACCATGGTAATGTAGTGCAATGCATGACTCACATGTTTGTGGTGATCCTGGTGTAAACAAATCAACTGTGATGCCAGTTGAATAAAAGTATGGCACATACTGTACAATTATGTACAATACATATTTGATAATGATAACAAATGACAATGTTACTGCTTTATGTATCCACTATAGTATACTTTTGATGCTTATTTTAGGGTGTACTCCTTCCAAAGTTAACTGTAAAATAGCCTCTGGCAGTTCTTTCAGAAGGCATTTCAGAAGAAGGCATTGTTATCACAGGAAATGACAGCTCAATGCATGTTATTGCCCCTGAAGGCCTTAAAGTTAGACAAGATGTGGAGGCGGAAGACAAGGATGTTGATGATCTTGACCATGTATAGGCCTAGGTTAATATATGTGTTTGTGTCTTAGTTTTTAACAAAAACAAAAGTTTAAAAAGTAATATATATATATTTATATAAAGCTTATAGAATAAGGATATAAAGACAAAATATTTTTGTACAGCTGTACGATGTTTGTGTTTTAAGCTGTATGATTAAAAAAGAGTCAAACAGTGGCCGGGCGTGGTGGCTCACCCCTGTAATCCCAGCAACTTGGGAGGCTGAGGTGGGTGGCTCACGAGGTCAGGAGAGCGAGACCATCCTGGCCAACATGGTGAAATCCCATCTCTATTAATATATATATATATATTCACCAGACGTGGTGGCGCACTTCTGTAGTCCCAGCTTCTCAGGAGGCTGAGACAGGAGAATCACTTGAACCCAGGAGGCGGAGGTTGCAGTGAGCTGAGATTGCGCCACTGCACTCCAGCCTGGGTGACAGAGCAAGAGTCTGTCTCAAAAAAAAAAAAAAAAGAGTCAAAATATTTAGAAACATTCAAAAGCATAAATTTAAAAAGTTACAGTAAGCTAAGGTTAACTTATTGAAGAAAAATTATTTTTTATAAATTTAGGATAGCCTAGGTGTACAGCCTTTATAAAGTCTACAGTAGTGGACAGTAATGTCTTAGGCCTTCACATTCACTCACTACACACACACTCACTTAGAGCAAATTCCAGTCCTGTAAGCCCTATTCATGGTGTGTGCCCTATGCAGGTGCACCATTTTTAAATCTTTTATACCATATTTTTTCAGTACCTTTTCTATGCTTAGAAACACAAATACTTAGCATTGTATTACAATTACCTGGAGCATTCAGTACTGTAACATGATGTACAGGTTCATTGCGTAGGAGGAATAACCTATACCAGATAGCCTAGGTATATAGTGGGCTATACCATCTAGATTTGTATTATATAAAGTATACTCTATAACGTTTGCACAACAAAATCACCCACCGATGCATTTCTCAGAATGTATCCCTGTCATTAATCAAGTCATGACAGTGTATCTCAGTATAAAGCACCTCTACTTTCTTGGTTATGAATGCCATCTGGAGGTCAGCCTCAACAACCTAGTCCATTATTCACAAGGATTCTATATTAAAGATATATTTTTAAATGCTTCATTTCTGTTACTATTACCTTAATCCAAGCAATGATTATATTTTTCACAAAATTGCTTCCTAAATGGGCTTTCTGTCTGCACTCATAACCCTTCAATCTATTTTCCCCCAAACAGTCAAAGAAGTCTTTTTAACTGTCAAGTCAGTGTCTTGAATAAAACCTTTCAGTGTCTTCCCATTGCTGTTAAAATCCTCAAGGGCCTGTGATTATTGAGCCTTGTCCACATTCCCAGGCTCAACTTGAAATGTTCTGGCTGCCTCAGTCATGGTGAGCCAGCCACACTGTTCCTCAGGCCTGCCAAGCTCCTTCCCCTTCAAAGCTTCTGCACATTATACTTCCTCTACCCGGTACTTTCTGTAGCTAGCTCCTAATGATTCTTCAAGTTCAGTGCCTCCTCCTTAGAGGGGTTTTCCTTGATCTCCATCTAAATTAGATCTCCTTCTTCCACATTTTCCCTATTCCATATGAACATTAAAACTTCATTCATAAAATAAACATTAACATTACATTGCCGCAGAAGCCAGAATCACTCTGATCACTTACTACAATCTGTCTTTGGATAGTAATTTGTGTGGTTATTTATTTAATTACTGACTTTTCTACCAAAATAACAGTTCTATTGATAACTGTTATTTTGGCCTGGGGGTCCCCAAGGCCCTTTTAGGGGATACTTAAAGCATTTTGTAAGTCTGATTGCCTTTGCAAGGACCTCAAAGCACAGAATGTGCTTCGGGCTCCCTGTGTATCATGTCTAGAAGAAAAGATATACCAGTTAGACAAGTTGACATATCAACCATCATTTTGAGATATAGTCATAAATGAAATAAAATGTTCTTCCTCCAGTTTGCAATGGAAGTGCAATTGTAGTTACTGATATCACAGCCCCAGAAATATCAATGAGGAACAGAACACAGTATAAGACATGAATACCACCAAACGAGTATGTGCAAGGCTAGGAAGGGAGCAATCTGGGTGAGAAGTTTCAAGTGGTGCAGTGCTATTCACTCTCCCCAATAAACCTGTACATTTAAACATTTGCTTTTCCCTATGATATTCTTTATCTGAGTTTCTCTCTCTGTCTCTCTCTCTCTCTTTTTAAAACTCTGATTTTGAACTACTTGCTCTTATATTTGTATTTGACTTTGCTGCTGTCTTAATTCTCTTTAAGGTCAGTCCTGCCTGACCATTCAGAACACATGTGCCTATCCCTCTCTAATAGTTCCTATTTGCCTACTTAGAATTAGAAATGGTCCTTCTAGAATCAGAGAAGAAAGAGAAAAGATTTAAAAATGAAGTGTAAAATCCATGGTATAAGTTTAATAAGCACGCTGGATGTAAAATAAATAGTGGTTGTAAAAAAATGGCTTTGTGGACATCATTTTAGTGTGAAAAGGACTGCAATTTATAGTCTGGACAACTTGCATACCTGCTCCATTACAACAATTTAACTGATGAGACATAGTGGGCTGAATGATGACCCCAAAAAGATATGTCCATGATTTAATCCCTGGAGGCTGTGAATATTGTGGCAAAAGATATGATTAAATTAAGAGAGGAGGAGTTTATCCTGGATTATCCATGTGAGCTCTAAATGTAATCACATGCCTTTTCATAAGAGAGAGTTTTGAGACACACGCCAAGAGAGAAGAGAGGAGGGGAAAAGGCAAAGTAGCTGCAGTGGCAGGGCTCAGGGTGATGTGGTCACAAGCAAAGGAATACCTATAGCCAGAAGCAGCTGAAAAGGCAAGAATGGATTCTTTTGCAGAGTATCTAGAGGCAGCATGGCCTTGACAATATGTTGATTTCAGACTTCTGAACTCCAGAATTGCGAGAGAATAAACGTCGGTTGTGTTGTCACCCAATTTGTGGTAATTTGTTATGACAGCCCCAGAAAACTAATAAACAAGATAAACATTAAAGCCACATTATCACATTACTTTTGTTTTCTTGAGGTTCAATTTGTGTGTGTGTGTGCATGTGTGTGTGCGTGTAATTCAATTGAAGAAATGTGAAGCCCAAATTACATGACACATATGAGTAAAGTCTGAGCAGAGAAAATGTGTTATATCTCTTTCCTATAGACACACACATTTATAGTATGTAAGATGCTTCAATTAGCAAAAAGTGTTTTTAATGTTGAGAGACCTGTTGATTACACCCATGTAGGCATTAAAACTCCTTTCACAAAATAAATATCCCTTTGAGGCAGAAGGAACCAGCACTCTATGAATGCATAAATTGAACGTGATCATGATCATTGTGCTGTAAACATCTGTTTACATTTCCTAGGATCTTGCCATGATTTCCACATTTTGTCTAATTTGTCATGACACCATCTGTTTGAAGATAGATTGATCACTGGTGGTTGGATTATTGGGTAAGTAGTGCTTATGTTTATTATGATGTACCTAACAATACCTTAAAATTATATTTAATGTGAATTAATTTTTAGGTGACAGTGGTTATCCCAGAGGTCCCATTTGCTTACAGCAGTGGGAACCACAGTAAAACAAAGATACAATTTTATAATCAGTTGAATACAACACATCCCAGAAATAAGATTTCAAAATTCAAGCCTAAACCTCTTTGGATGAAAAAAAGGCTCCATTTTGTACCTTTGATAGGATACACTCCAGAAGTCTTGTGACCTTGATACTTGCCAATGACAGAGTTAAGTTGCTGGTTGAGTAAGTATCCATCTGAGCTGTGGCAGAGCCCTGGGCAGCCCCAAGGCTAAGGCTTCTCAAGTCCTGAGTTTGCTGAGGTGCATTTGTTAACAGAGACCAGTCTTAGATCTATAGGCCACGGTGAGTTTTATCTCAATTTGATATGTTTGAGGGGGTCTTTTAATCTTTGGAAGTATATTTCTGAAATGTAAAATTTTAAAATACTCTGTTATCAATCAAAGAGTTGCTTTCGATTCTTATGCTAAAATTTTAGGTTATTTTAATTCAAATATTAAATTTTTATTTCCTGACCAAATTGATTCTAATAAGACTAAAACTTCTATGCTATTGTAAAACTTGCTATTATAATCTGCTTAAATTTTTAAGGATTTTTATCCATCCTTTGATCCTACAGTCTTAAGGCTATATGTCTTCATGGACATAATTAAAAATTTACCAAAAATAAATTAATTTTGAATAATATCTGTTCAATATGACAACACTTGAAGCTAAGATTCAATGTTACTGTACCATATTCTTTATAGAGATATAGAATTCAAACTGACACATATTAAGCTGGAATTAAAAGTTTACACACACACACACTCACACACTTGAACATTATACCAAATGATTATACTTAGCTATTTATTCACCTCAGGTTATAATATCTTCATGCTAACCAGCATTAAATTCCCCACCCCTAAATAGTCCACTGAATTTTAAGTGACAGAAATACTTTACAGGCATAATTACAAAGTAAAAAGAGATGGTTATGAGCAAACATAGAACTCATTTTTTCAAAACACTGTTGAACTATGCAATTGTAGGTGTTTTTTAACTAGTCAAAATAATTCACCACCATGCCTTAATTCCTACTCTACACTCTCTTTGCCATTGCTGCTGTAACCCAGGGTCCTGGGGTTTTGGGGTGTACACTCTGAAAAAGTACCCACTTGTAACTCTTACTCCTTGAGTTCTTGTTTTTTCAAAAAAGTTCCAGGAAGAAGCTCAGTCCATAGATGCCTGAGTTGGAGATAACCTTTGGCAAGTTCCCCTCATTACCATCACCATACTAAAATCCCCGCCCAGGGAGGTGATTTTTCACCATTTTTTATACATGCAATGTATGTAGAAGCATGATTGGCAACAGTGCCTGAGCTGCCTTTACTCTACCTCTACAATGACTCAACTCAGCAGCCCAATAAAAGCTCTGTTTTCACAGATGTTCTGGGAGATACCACTTTGGAAACTATCCCTGGTGTCCTCCTTACTTGTTGAAAGTAATAAAATCCCCTTGTTAAATCCTCCTTGGTTGTGGTCACTGGATTGCCACACACCAAGTGATTAAACCCACCCATAGTGTAGATAACACTACCAATAGTAAAATGATAATCTCCCTGCAAACATTATTACCAAATCTATGGTTTGGAGTGCTCCTCCCCTCATGAATTCAGTGAGGATTTGTTCTAACAGCCAGCATTCCACGTATTCCCATAACCTCCCAGAGCTATGGATGGATATGACCTATCCATCCAATCCTTCCTCCTCTATTTAGCCCAGCCAAGGACACCTGTCTCCTTTTAGTTCACAAAGAGTTTTCCATTTGGGGTTGTAAGGTTGAGCTAATCACAATAAAAGAAGATTCTTGTGAAAAAATGAGATTAGGCCTCCCTGAAATAGCAAGGGAAAAGCCATGTATTTTGTCCCCCGTGTGACACCTGCTGACATAGACTTGTCTTCCTATGGATACTCGGTAAGGAAGAATCTTCATGACTCTTTTTTTCTCACTAGAGATTAAGATGTGAAGAGGAAAAGGATCACATGTTTGGGATCAAGTTGCTGTTCCCAGACTATGTAAATTGTTCTCAGCCATTCAGTAATAAGGACCAGCCATTCATCTCATTTTAGAGAAAGAATTAGTGAAGTCTAAAGGGAGAGAAAAGCAGGTGTTTCAAGATTTATGTGTGGATGATGCTAGCTTAAAAGGAAGATCTATTAGGTGCATCACAGCATGGAGATATCAATATGGTAGAGAGGAAGCTGGGATTAAGATAATTTTTTTGTTGTTTTTTAATCCAAAGTTCACAAACTGAGCCACCTTGTGAAAGGAGAAACTGGTAGGTAATGTAGAGTGCAACAGAAGTGTTTATTGAGTATGGTCCTTGGATTCTCTGGGAAGAAAACAAATCCTAAAGAATTAATTTTCCAGGGAGGCCTTGACATAGCTGCTTCAGGAAAGTCATTGCAACATCAGGTTATATGAGTAGGAAAGAAGTTCAGGAGCAAGGTATTGTTAATGTTAAGAACATGGATTCAGGAAGCAGGATGTCCAAATTTTCATCCAAGCTTCTACAGTAATTTGCTGAATGTTCACAGGTAAGCTATTTTACCACTGATGGCTTCAGTATCCTCAGCAGTAAAACTGGGGCTGGGGAAGGGGCTGTGTGTGGCAGTATTAGAATTTAGGTGTGTGTGGCAGTGTTATAATTTATCTTCTATGTGTTGTAAAGATTTATGAATATTTTATGTGTCAGATATTTAGCACAGTACCGAAATATAGGTAGCTCTCAGTAGTTGTTAAAAATTATTTTTATTTGTATTATTATTTTAGGCTAAAAAGGGGAGTTGGGAGTTACTACTGGTTCAATGGTTTGACTAACACTCCTCATGTTGTCACACGGTAAGGGAGGAGACCACCCCTCATATTGTCTTATGCCCAATTTCTGCCTCCAAAGAAAGAAGAAGTAAAAACTAAAAGGCAGAAATGAAATCCACAAGCAGACAGTCTGGCGCCACACCCTGGGCCTGGTAGTTAAAGATGGACACCTGACCTAATCGGTTATTTGCATAAGAAAAGCACTGTAAAGATCCCTGTCCTGTTCTGTTCCGTTCTAATTACCGGTGCATGCAGCCCCCAGTCACGTACCCCCTGCTTGCTCAATCGATCACGACCCTCTCACACGGACCCCCTTAGAGTTGTGAGCCCTTAAAAGGGACAGGAATTGCTCACTCAGGGACCTCGGTTGTTGGAGATGTGAGTCTTGCTGAAGCTCCCAGCCAAATAAAGCCCCTCCTTCTCTAACTCGGTGTCTGAGGGGTTTTGTCTGCAGCTTGTCCTGCTACAATGGAATTATTATTTTGTTGTAGGGTGGAGAGGGTTTTAATTCTATTATATCCTCCATGATTTAGCATGAGCTTAGAGGTTAGACAATGCTTTACATCTGTCCTTGTTCATCTGGGTTCATTACTGAACCAATCTGAGAGTCAGTTACCTCATCAGTTAAATAAGATAAGTATATAAACTGCCCAACACTTAGTAGGGATTCAGTATTGTTTATTTTCATGCATCCTTCCTCTCAACTTTGTACTTATACTAAGAAAAAGTAACAGCAAGTGACAGAAGCCACAACAATAGAATCTTAGAAATAGAAAAATGTTTGTGCTTGGACCAATCTACATGCTAAATAGCTACAACTTCTTAGGCTCTCAGTAAATTGTGGTTCCTTGGGGAGCAGCCTAGGCTACTTAAGGTTAATCACTGGTGCTTAGAGTTAATTGTTATCAATCTGTTTTTCAAAGGCTGCTCTGCTGGAGTTTCCATACATAGCAATCAGTTCCAACAGCAGCTCCAGGCCTAAATGAGTTCTTCTAATACTTTTCCCATAATCAATTTTCAAAAATATATCAAACACAGTAAAAAATAGACCTCAACATTAAACTTGTCATCTAGTATGTAGTGTTTCAAACATGAGAGTGCATCAGCATCGCCTAGAGGGCTTGTTAAAACACGTTGCTGGACCTCAACCTCAAAATTTCTGATTCAGCATGTCTGAAGTGGGAGCAAACCCAACTGCTACTGATGCTGCTGCTCCTGGAAAAGGAAAAAAGTTTTTAGGGTTTGTAGAATTTGTAAAGAAGCAAGGGCGATAAGCGTATCTCTTTTGAGGGTTCTAACTTGACTAAAATTGACCAGCTTCTTTGTCATTACCAAGCATTCACTGCCACCCATGCACTGCTACTCACACAGCCCATCTCTTCTACAGCCTTTTCAACTCTTTCTACATGACCTATCAGGTTGCTTCTTTGCTCATGGAAGAATATGAGTCGAAATCATTTCTAAAGCAGAGGTACGTGCCCAGAAGCTCTCTTCTTCTCTGGACTGTCCAATCTCAGAGCTTCATGATCCCCTTGGCCATCTGCACCTTAAACTTTGGGGTTCATCCCCTCTGATCCTGTAGTCTTAAACAGAGATGCATTTTTTTCAGAGAGTGGAGGCATAACCAAGATTGCCTTACTGTTACCCTCCACTTAACTAATTTTTCCCTTTTCTTAGAGCATTTAAAATGGAAAATTTTTCTCTGACTCTTTGAGATGTAAATCTATAAGCCAGAAAGGTCTTTCTCAAGGAACTAGGAGCCATCCCTTTGAAATGCAGTCATTAAGAAAAACAGTGCCCCTATCTCCCTATCTGGGAGAGTAGGAGCCTAACTTTGACAAGCACCAATTAGCAAGCAAAATGGCCATATCACATTAGCCAACCTCCCTCCTAAGGTCTTCCAGGTACTTTTTCCTTTAGCTCACCCCAGCATTCAAAAGTTCTCTTGCCTTTTGTTTTAGCAGAGTTGAGCTCACTTTCTTTCACAGATTGCAACAGACTTGACCCCTATTACAATAGTCTTGAATAAAATCTTCCTTGCCTCTTAACTCTGTCCAGTGCAATTTTCCTTTGACAGGAGACTCTCCCTTTCTGACTTGGATGAATTTGTCCCTTCTCTGATTTATTGAACAAGCCTGTTTCTTGCTCTCAACTCTCACCTACATTTCTGTTTAGTTGTTCCTGAATTTGAGCTTGAGATGCTCAAGACTTCATCCCAGCTACTAAATAAGGAGACAGATTCCATGGCACATTTTAGCATTTGGGGCCACAGCACCAGTCTCCTGATGGCATAATGAGATCACGGCATATCCCATAAATATTGCATGCTTTTCTGGCCGTCAGTGCCAGGCCCTGGTGACACAAAGACAAATAATGTGGCCCCTTCTTCTGGTTGTAAAATATATTTCCCTGGAGTGGTGGAGAATAATACTATACCCAAACGCTATGTCCAGGTAGACTAGCTGTTTGTAAGAGGAAGGTGACTACATACTCTGACTTCCCTGATAAACAGAAGGCAAAGAACAACTTGAGAAACTGGCTCAACCACTTATCTGGATGGGAAGAGTGACTAAAGACTGAGAAAGTATCTACCTTCACTGGCAGCCAGTCATTGATTCTGTACGAGGCTTTCTGATTATTCCCTAATACTAAGGTGATCTTATAATTTATCAGCCTATTGTGACACTTTTGAGAAGAATGGCATGCTACTAAACACACTGGGACAACACATATAAACAGAACTATCATGAACAAAATGGGATTTAGGATAATCTTATCTGATACCAACCATGAAGACATTTGTAATAAGTAGTGATGAGGGAGGTGGTTCGTTTCTATCCTCACCAGTGCTCATACACTCACAGATAAACACAGAGCCATGAATAATGTAAACTCAGGTCTCATTTCAGGATAATGTAAACATTAGGAGGACACCCCTTATATATACCCCTGAGGAACCCACAGCTTCAATCCCTGTGTGGCAAAGGTCCTACTGGGCTTTCTTTCTCATGCCTCCATATGTACGTACCTCCTTTAATCTCTTTTGAACACTGAAAGCCCCACCTCCTCTTCAATCGCAGCCCCTCTGACCTATACTTTATTACAGATGGTGAGGAAAGGTAGTCTGGGCCCAGGAAAAATATCTAAAGAAGAATGAAAAGAAAATGGTGGAAGATTGGCCATTTCACATTGTCAGTTTAATTTCCTGCCTGTTTATCTTTGAGCATTACTTAAATGGAGTCTCTTTTTCTAAATCTGAGTCACATTATAAATCTCTCTCTTCTATTAGCTCAGCCTGGAAAAATCCTAACCTGGAGGAGGGAAAGGGGTTATCACCACCACCTACCCTCCCCACCTTAGTCTGAAATTTCCCTTGACTCTCAGAAGAGGTCAAAGCAGCACTGATACAAGCTCTGTGTTCCTCCCAGGGTATGTGCAAATACGAACTTATTAATTCTGTCCTCATTTTTGTTGAGCTGTAAAAACTACTTAATATATGGCTTTGTTTTCTTATTCAATGATTCAATTATCTTGCCTAGTGTAGATCACTAGAAGTGGATGTCATTTCATCCATTTTCCCAGCACGGAGTAATGGGCAGAGGGTCCTGAGTATCAGGACCTCTGAATAAATGGCTGATGTTCTTTCCTAAAAAGCTATTGAGACTGGCTCAGACAGTCAGACTTTCACAAATCTGAGACTGGGAGAAAGTGCTTGCTTTGCAGAAGCCAGTAGAAGCATGGGACTATATAGTGATCTCAGCAAAGGTGCCAACATCAGTAAGCCAGGACAAGAAGCTGTGTAGAGAGGAGGGCTGGGTAAAGCTCTCAGTACCCAGAGTACCGTGGCAGTTAATCTGAAGGCCACAGAAGTATAATCATGGGTTTAGTGGGCAAGTGAGCCAATAGTTCAGAGCAAATGCCAGAGGCTCGGATTTTCTTATAGTTGGTTACCTAGGGGCTTCTGCCCAAGCCATGAAGATAAGCTCCCACTTTCAAATGACGAGAGATACAGCAACATTATTGTCTGTTAAAATCATCAAAACTCTTCCCATTTTCAGGATTAAGCCAGCAAACACCATAGCTCAGCACTCAGTTACATCATGTCCTAACCAAATTTTCTAGACTCTTGGTCCTTTCCCGTGCATTCACTCAGTACTCCAAGAATGTTGGTCTACTCAAGTTTTTTTAAATACGCTACTTTTTTTTAATTGCCCTATGACTTTGTCTATGCAAAGCCTTAATTAACTTCCACGAATCTGAAAGCTTGCAATAGCTATTGCACTATTTTATTATGAAAATGTGTTGGCGTCTATAAGGTGCTTGATAAGATGAATTCACTAAATCCATGAATGCTGCTGTTGCTTCCTGCACTGTGTATATTCTGAGTCCTGAATGGTCAAATCCATGTATGTTTCATCTTTGATCAGGATTTCTGTTGCAGTTCTATCCCATGACACCATAATTACTATTTGTAGAGCTACTTTTACTCCTGGACTGGGAGATTTTGGGTGGAAGAGACAATGATTATTCTGTGTGATGGTTGATTTTGTGTGTCAACTTGACTAGGCCAAATAACTGGTTAAATATTTGTAGGTGTCAAGAGAAAACTTCATCTTCAACTTTTGAAGATTCACTAAAAAATCAACACACAAAAGGCAGATTAATCAGAGAAAAGGCATACAAATTATTTAATGTGTACATGGGGAGAATCACAAAGTGATAATTCTCCCACCCCCAACAGAGGTCAGAAGCTTATATGTCATCCTGGCACCACAGGTTTTGGGGGGAGGAAGGAGAAAAGGAATTCTGTTGAGGGGCTTCCTAGGGAGAATGAATGGATCAGGTAACAGAGATGATATCTGGTGAAAGTGTCTCTTCAGGCATAGTTACAATCTTGGTCTTACAGGGAGGGGAACAAAAAACAATTATTCTCCTTGGTTGGTCTGGATCTTAGGCAGATAAAGAAACTTCAGTTTCACAGATGGCAGGAGATGAGGAAGTCAGAGAACACTTGAGGTTTTCTCCAGTATGTCAAAGCACCATATTTTGGGGTATCAGCCTATGAGCCCCAACCAATGATTTATGGGTGTGTCTGTGAGAGTGTTTCCAAAAAGATTAGTGTTTGGACTGGTGAACAGAATAAAGCAGATGACCCTCCTCCATGTAGGTGGGCATCATCCATTCCATTGAGGGCCTGATTAGAACAAAAAGATGGTGCAAAATTAAATTCACTCTCCTCATGACTGATGGAGCTGAAACATTGGTCTTCTCCTGCCCTTGGCACTGCTGGTTCTCAGGCCTTCAGAATGGGACTGAAATCTATAACACCAGCTCTCCAAATCTTAGACCTTTTAACCACACTACGGCTATCCTGGGTGTCCAGCTTATAGAAGGCAGATAGTGGGACTTCTCGGCCTCCATAATCATGTGAGTGCATTCCTTATAATAAATATTATGTTATGCATAATATTAATATGAATAATATTTATACCTTACTGGAAGTGTGTGTGTGTGTGTGTGTGTGTGTGTGTGTGTGTGTGTGTGTGTGTGAGATTCTGTTTCTCTGGAGAACCCTGACTGATATACTCTGTAACCCAGGCACCTAGCACGTTACTGTTGCAAGGAAGGTGTTTTATAAATATTAAATATTCACACCCAAAGCTGATGTGGGTCCATGCTGCCTAAAAGAACTTAAATATAAAGCAAAAATACATTATAATATAAATTAGAATATATAAATATATAAAAAGTTAAAAATATAATCTAAAATAAATATTTAAATATAACATACATTTATTTTTAAATTATTTAAGGAAGTTATAAGTTATAAAAGTATTAATTATTTTCAGATGAGTACCTACTGAAAAAGAAGAGTCCTCTTGGAAAACCACTTCGAGAAATGTAATGGGTTCTAAGGCTAGTTAAAGAAATAAAGAACAATACCTATAAAATCAAGGCAAAGGTGAGCAGCAATTTAACAGATGAAATTCCTGGAAGAAAATCTCCTGTATTGAGAATAGTTGTTAGAATTGGGTAGTAGTAGCAGGTTCAAGTTCTGTCACCTGCATGCATTAGCTGTACTTATGAACAATTTGCTTGAATTTTCTGAGCTTCAATATCTTTGACTGTGGAATGACGTTAACACTATCTGTACTGATAGGTTGTTTTGAGAACTAAATAAGATAAGGACTCTACAAGGTACATAAATGAATGTCCAATAAATTTTAGATTTCATTCTCATATTTGATATTAAAATTAAGATATATATGAAGATTAGGATATCTTTAATGAAAAAAATCAAACAGTAAAATGTAATCAATAGATAAAATTGATGTTAGCTAGCAGAGGCAGAAAATTACCATGCATTTCTTAAACGAACAGTTTTTATCCCCAAACTCAATGCCAAATAGTTGATTTCTATTCTATTTTTAAAATAAAGCGGATAACCTCTTTCTCATTAATTTATCTCTTGGAAAATCATACTAATCAATATCTATAAGTAAACACTATTCCTAAGTTTTAAATTTACCAAAACATTATAAATTATAATTTAAAAGGCTTTAGTTTTTATTTTTACACACTCAAAAAGATGTAATATGAGACTTCGTTAGGAAAAGCAGATCAGGAGTCCTAAGCATTTGGATATCTCACTTTGGTAATTTGGAACCAGCTCCTTCGAAGATGTGCTCTCTCCTCCCCCACTCCACTCCCAAGAGACTTACATTGAATGTAACTCCACCTCTTTTTCCCTTACCTTTGTGCTGTGCATACCCACCCTAAAGAAGTGAACATCAGATGCAACATCGCATCAAGAAAAGGCTGAAAATGTATCATCAATAATTATCTATCTATTAGAGAGATAAATTCTGATGCTTCTTTGAAGTCACATGTAAATGACATTTGAGGTTTTATAAATAGAAGCAATGCTTCTGAAACAATGCAAAAATAAAGCATAATAAGAAGCTGGTGTTGAGAAAACAGAAGGGAATTATTGTTGTGATTATTTAGTGAACTAAATTTAGACTAGGAGTGACACTCAAGATACATCCATTACCATATTTTCCATTAGCCACATGTCATCCTAAGCAATATCGCACTGCTATTCCATTGCTAATTTTAGCTTGAATAATATAAATTATTTCTTATGTTCAATTTACTTATTTGATATGACAATTTAAAAGAAAAGTATTCCTCTGAATTTAGTGTAAAAAATGGCATGCAATGTGCCTATTACTGGCAAAAGCAAGGGTCTGTTTCAATTCTCCCTGTCACCTCTGAGGTAGTTGTAACAGTTATTGCTTTCCCAGGTTTTGCATTTTGCTTCTTGTTTAAACCAGCACTGCTTTTTTTCTTTAAACTTGTTCAATTTACTCTGCACATATTTGAAAATCAGTGCAAATTAAGGTTTCTGTTAAGAAAAAAAATAATTTGAAAAATGCTGACAGTATAAAACATATAAAATACCAGCTGTAATTATCTTTTGGTAGCTTAATTCCAGTACTTTGCTGAATACTTTTATTTTTAGGTGAAATAAAAAGAAGAAATGTTCACTTTTTAGATAGGTATTGAGTTCAGAAAAAAAGTATTGGGATTTTAATTTAAATGCTCTATAAGAATAATTTGGGTAATGATTGTATTTATTAGAAATATAATTTTGGAGAAAAGACTTCACAATTTTGAATTTACAAAGTGGAGAATAGTTCAACAACCCTGAATATAACCAACTTTCTTTGTTAATAAGCAGTGCATTATGAAAGGGGAAAACCTGTAGGACCAAATGCATTTCTACTCTGAGGCTAAAAATATTGTCTTAATAATGTTGCTATTTTATTTAAAGATCTAAATTTCCAAAATATTTTATGAAAATAATATCTTTTCACATAAGTTAACATTTAGGTTCAGCTCTAAAATAGCATGCCTTCAATTAAATTTCATTTAGGGGAGAAATATTTATTACTTCTTTTCTTTATAAAAGCAAACCAATTACAGAGGTAGCATATTCCTTTAACATCAGCTCAAAATCAAAACTATTTATTTGGGGAAAAGTTCATAAAATCATAGCAGTTCACATTGTAAGCCACAGTCAGTTATAGTGGATTTTATAGATACTGTAAAATTGCTGTTTGAAAAAATATTATTGAACTTCAGGTTTCTAAAAGTCTCAATATGTTAAACTGCACCTCATATTTTATAACATTTAATAATGGTTCACTTTTTTCAAGCCTCAGAGGTTTAAAGGCCATTTAGATGTGTTCAAAAGGAAAGCATCAAATACTGTAGATTCCCTGAAACATAAACAAAGGTCTTTAAAACTAGTACATAAGAGCAAGTGGTTCAGTGAAAAATTTCCTTCATAATTGAAAGTCCATATACAACTACAAGAAATAAAATTAGAAATTAATTTATTTAAAGCTTTTAATTAAAAGAAAATTTGTTTTAACATTCTCACAGTATACAAGACAAATAAACATTATTCTCTGGGTTTATTAAAAAATTGATGTTTAAAATATTAATAACTATTATGTTCATAGCTGAATTAGGAGAATATTAACTAGAATAGATACATTTCAAAGATTTGTCTCATATTTTCTTTAGCTATTTTTTTCCATTATCAGAATCCTAATACCCACTTCACAGTAGCACACATTGTCCATAGGGCTAACACTACATACTGTCCATAGACCAAGGCTAGGTTCTGAGTATGTTGTCCTGGGGAGCTCATGCTAGATTTTGATACTTTTTAAAATTATAAATATTATAAGTGGTGTCTACTATTGAGTCTCCAAAGAGAATACCAGAATGACACATTGATGAAGAAAGCGTATTTGTTTACCTACTGCATGGGGCAGAACACCATCTTGACTGAGGCTTAGTAGTGTCTTAGAAGGGGAGCTTAAGCCTGATACTGTTGTGGTTCAGGGATCTCCTTGCAAGTGGTTTAAGGCAATCTTTCAATGTAGGATTTAATTAAGGCTAAGCAAAATTCTTAATAGTTTATTATTGTAAAACAGATGAATTCAAGGAATGACTCTTGGTAAGTAGTTGTTTGATAGGCAAGTATGTTTGACTAGTTGAGTGAACTATTGTCCTGAGAAGGGGCTTGGTCAATGTATTAGTTCATTTTCATGCTGCTTATAGAGACATACCCAAGACTGGGAAGATAAAGAGGTTTAATGGACTTACAGTTCCACATGACTGGGGAGGCCTCAAAATCATGACAAAAGGTGAAAGGCACATCTCATATGGTGGCAGACAAGAAAAGAGAGCTTGTGCAGGGAAACTCCCCCTTATAGAACCATCAGATCTCGTGATACTTATTCACTATCATGAGAACAGCACAAGAGAGGCCTGCCCCAATGATTCAGTTACCTCCCACTGGGTCCCTCCCACAACATGTGGGAATTCAAGATGAAATTTGGGTGGGGACAAAGCCAAACCATATCATTCCAACCCTGGCCCCTCCCAAATCTCATGTCCTTATATTTCAAAACAAATCATGCCATCCCAACAGTCTCCCAAAGTCTTAACTCATTTCATCCTTAACTCAATAGCCCACAGTCCAAAGTCTCCTTCAAGACAAGGCAAGTCCCTTCCGTGTATAAGCCAGTAAAATCAAAAGCAAGTTAGTTACTTCCTAGATACAATGGGGTACAGGCATTGGGTAAACACAGCCATTTCAAATGGGAGAAATTGGCCAAAATAAAAGGGCTACAGGACCCATGGAAGTTTGAAATTCAGTGGGGCAGTCAAATTTTAACGCTCCAAAATGACCTCCTTTGACTCCATTACATCCAGGTCACACTGATGCAATAGGTGGGCTCCTATGGCCTTGAAAGCTCTGCCCCTGTGGCTTTGCATAGTATATCCCACCTCCTGACTGCTTTCTTGGGTTGGCATTGAGCGTCTACAGCTTTTCCAGGTGCACGGCACAAGCTGTCAGTGGATCTACTATCCTGGGGTCTGGAGGATGGTGGCCTTCTTCTCACAGCTCCACTAGGTGGTGCCCCAGTAGGGACTCTGTGTGGGGGCTCCAGCCCCATGTTTCCCTTCTCCACTGCCCTAGCAGAAGTTCTCCATGAGGGCCCTGCCCCTGTAGCAAACTTCTGCCTGGGCATACAGGCATTTCCATACACCCTCTGAAATCTAGGCAGAGGTTCCAAAACCTCAATTCTTGACTTCTGTGCACCCACAGGCTCAATACTACATGGAAGCTGCCAAGGCTTGGGGCTTCCACATTCTGAAGCGGCAGCCCAAACTGTATCTTGGCCCCTTTTAGTCATAGCTGGAGTTGCTGGGATGCAGAGCACCAAGTCCCTGGACTGCACACAGCAGAAGGACCCTGAGCCTGGCCCACGAAACCATTTTTTCTCCTAAACCTCAGGGCCTGTGATGGGAGGGACTGCTGCAAAGTTCTCTGACGTGCCCTGGAGACATTTTTCCCCATTGTCTTGGGGGTTAACATTTGGCTCCTTGTTACTTGGTCAAATTTCTGCAGCCAGCTTGAATTTCTCCTCAGAAAATGAGATTTTCTTTTCTATCACATTGTCAGGGTGCAAATTTCCCAAACTTTTATGCTCTGTTTTCCTTTTAAAACTCAATGCCTTTAACAGCCTCCAAGTCACTTCTTGAATGCTTTGCTGCTTAGAAATTTCTTCCACCAGACACCCTAAATCACCTGTCTCAAGTTCAAAGTTACAGAAATCTCTAGGCCTAGGGCAAAATGCTGCTAGTCTCTTCACTAAAACATAACAAGAGTCACCTTTACTCCAGTTCCCAACAAGTTCCTCATCTCCATTTGAGACCACCTCATCCAGGATTTCATTGTCCATATCATTGTCAGCATTTTGGTCAAAGCCATTCAAAAAGTCTCTAGGGAGTTACAAACTTTCCCACATTTTCCTGTCTTCTTCTGAGTCTTCCAAACTGTTCCAACCTCTGCCTGTTATCCAGTTCCAAAGTTGCTTCCACATTTTCAGATATCTTTTCAGCAGCACCTCATTCCTGTTACCAATTTACTGTGTTAGTCAGTTTTCATGCTGCTGATAAAGACACACCCGAGACTGGGAAGATAAAAAGGTTTAATGGACTTACAGTTCCAAATGGCTGGGGAGGCCTCACAACCATAGTGGAAGGTGAAAGGCATGTCTCACATGGCAGCAGACAAGAGAAGAGTTGTTCAGGGGAACTCCCCCTTATAGAACCATCAGATCTTGTGAGACTTATTCACTCTCATGAGAACAGCATGGGAAAGACTTGCCCCCATGATTCAATTACCTCCCATAGGGTCCCTCCTACAACATGTGGGAATTCAAGATGAGATTTGGGTGGAGACACACCAAACCATATCAGTCTAGAACTCCATTGGTTGGACAAATGGGTTTGTCTGGAGTTTCAGAAGCAAACAATAAAGTTAGACATTACAGCTTTATTTTCCTGGGTAGAAATTCCCTGGAACAAAATTTAAAGTCGTTTAATATAGGCTTAGTCCTCACAGTTAAACTCTGGGACCCCAGGGATATCAATTCTTAGTATTTGGAAATGATAACAATCATCACTAACTCTCCACACCAGAAGCAGAACAGAGAGGGAGACAGAGAGAGAGAGAGAGAGAGAGAGAAAGAGATTCTCTCATATAAATGTAAAAATAGTCATATATGTGTATGCTATAAAAAATATAAAGACAGTTGCTAGGTAAGCACATTCACACACAATTGCAAAAGGATTCTACCTAGTAAAATGTATGAGCCACTTGAATAATCTCTGTCAAATATATACTTCACTTTTTTCTTTCTGAATTTTTGAAGAGAGGCATTTTAATGATGAACAATGGCATTTATATCAGGTATTATATCACTGGTTCTCACTTTGTTAAACTGTATATTAGATTAAACTTAAATATATACCTATGAACCCTAAGATATTTCCAAGTATTCAAAAGTGTTTGAATGGAAGATCTGAGCATTAGTGCAACTGAAAGGCCACATGGGGTCTGCATCAAAGAATCAGCTGGGTGTTAAAATAAGTAGCCATGGGGTTGGTGTATTTTTGGAATCCATTGTCTGTTCATACGAAATACAGATTTATGAAATAAAATGCCACTTGGCTTCCCTAGCAATGTATTTGCAATTATTTTCTTCATAATACTTCCTATATTGAAGAAAGGTATTGGCTGCATAAATACTTTCTCTTCTTCATTTTGTTTTTGCTTAATCTTTGGCTTCCTTCTCTTCCTCACTTCTCTTTATCTCTTAATTTTCTTTTCTTTCTATCCTACAAATAGATATGTCCCAAATTTGCACTAGCCACTGTAGAAAGACTATAGAGAAGGATAGGAAGATGAATCAGAACTATGTACATAAACATTTTACTGTCTTTTATAATACACTTAGATATGTTAAATAGTATTTTATATATAGTAATGAAAGAAATACCTGTCATGGACAGATATTACTTTTCAGGTTTTTGTGACATCTCTCCAATGAGACCACATGCATTTACTTCTGATGAAAAATACAGTTTGTTCTATGATTTCTTCAATTTCAAGAGATTTTTGGGATTAGTTCAAGCCTATGTATCTATCTATGTAAACTGTCTATGCTTCTTGCCATTACAGGTTTCCTTTTGATAAGGAATAGCATTTAAATAATAAGTTAAATCCTCATCAGAACTTTCAGAAATCAGGCCAATCTAATATGTAAATATGTACTTTACATCTGTTGAATAAAATGGTAGCAGTTAATTCAATGATTTTCATATGGGCTTTATTTTATTTATGAGTAGTGATAAAAATTCAATAAAAAATGAAAAAGCATATAAAAAGGAAAAGGTAAAATGAATAAATGATTTCAGATAAGTTTATTTCAGTGTGACTTCATATGTAACCTACAAATCACATGAAGTATCTTAATCATTCGCCTTCCTGTTTTGTTTATTCTACAGCTATTATCATCACTATTATCAAATTAGACGTTAGTTCTTGCCACCTAAACTGGTGTTTGGTAGTTACGTGGCCAGGGGTGAAACTATAATAGTTCAGTAGATGTTAAATGCAAAAACATTATAAATTAGTGTTCTCTGAAAACACTGAAGTTTTGATGAATACCCATTGTTTTCCTCTCATCTTTTATAATAATTCATAAGGGACAATTATTTACATATTATTTTCTTCCAGAAATGAAAACAATAAAGGCAGATATTAAATTCTGGTGTTCCTATTATTTGCTCATATCTTCCACATGCTGGTTCTTGGATGAAGTGATTGGTTCACCACAATCCTAGGACAGTGCTTTGAACATCAGTGTCATAGCCTACTACATGGGACACATCAACAGCATAGCATCTAATACAACCAAATGGTACTGGTACATGAAGTTGTTTAGAAGAGCAGTTTCAAATGAAAAAATGCGAGACACATCGGAGTCTCACAGGTATAGCCATGTCAGCAGGGACAAATCATAATCAATTTTGAGTAAAAATAAAGTTAATGGCATATTGCCTTTCTTTCCACTTCACAAATGTCAGGAAATATAAAATAAGTGCCTGAGAAAAAGACACTAAAAAAAACACAAGCTATCATTATGTTTTAAAATGATTAAAATCATATTTTCAAAAATATAGTAAATTCTATATATAACTATAAAGTATGTTCAAATTTCCAACATCTGTGATCTACCTACATAATCAAGGAAAGTAATCAGGAAAATGAATATTCCTAGAGTCTCAAGCAAATCACTCCAAAATATGCTACAGATAACAGTATAAAATGAAATACAGGTCAAGATTCAGGAACCATGGGGAGGCTTACATTTCTTTCTGGTTATCATGAGCATTACAGAAAGATAATATCATTGAAATAAGTAGGAATTACTAACATTGGACGGAATTCCCATTTCACATTCTTAAATTTTATACCATTCATCTGTGTTTTAAAAAGAAAACTAGGATCACCTTTTTGTCTCTAAGAAAATAAAATTAAATATAATAATGGGAAAATCATGTTTGAAAATTCTAATCAATTTTAGCAGTTTACTAAAAGTATTCAATTTTGGAAATAGAAAAATCATAATGGGATTTGAAAATGATTTGCATGAGAAACTAAGGTAGTAAATTAACAGGCAGTTCTAGTTCTTAAATGGCATATCCTTGTGTGTGTGTGTGTGTGTGTGTGTGTGTGCGCGTGTGTTTGATAAAGTTTTAGAAGATTCAACCTTTTAAAGATAGGATAGTAGGCTTATAAAAACAGTAATATCAGCCGAGCACGGTGGCTCACGCCTGTAATCCCAGCACTTTGGGAGGCTGAGGCAGGCAGATCACGAAGGCCAGGAGATCGAGACCATCCTGGCTAATGCGGTGAAACCCCGTCTCTACTAAAAATACAAAAAATTAGCCGGGCGTGGTGGCGGGCACCTGTAGTCCCAGCTATTCGGGAGGCTGAGGCAAGAGAATGGGTGAACCCGGGAGGCAGAGCTTGCAGTGAGCCAAGATGGTGCCACTGCACTCCAGCCTGGGCAACAGAGCAAGACTCCGTCTCAAGAAAAAAAAAAAAAAAAGAAAGAAAGAAAAGTAATATCAACTCGGGCAAATTATAATCAATTTAGTGCAATGAGCACATTTATTTCTCATTGAATTAATGAGTAGTTAATGCAGAAAGATGGTAAGACCAGAGTCTGAAGCCACATCATGTAAAAAGGAAACACATTTTTATCTTCTTTTTCTATTTTTCCAATAAATATTCAACCTTAAAAATTATAGACCCTTTAATTTGGCCCATATCAGTTAAATTCAAAAAAGGGAAGTCTGAAGTCTGTTCCAAACAAAGTCAGTTTGGTAAAAATGTGACTTCAGAATAAGAGAACCTAACTAAAATCAATTTGAGAGAAATATTATGAAAATTTTCTTCTAAGACACATTAGTCTTAGAGGCATTGATATTAGACACTAATACAATGCCTGAATTAGAATTAATAGCATGTATTAAATTTCCATAGCAGAAATTCACAGTACTAAATATACCAGGGAGAATTGGATCATTAACCATTTAATTTTAAGTCCTTTTAAAAAAAAACATGGTCCTCAGACAATGGTCTACACCTTCCTTCAATATATGCTTTCTTTATAAGTTGTTTGGGCACTTTAATATTGGGCAGAGAATTCTTATACAAAAATTGATATGCATTTCAAAAACTATATAAGTATACCTTGACTTGCTCTAACAGAGTTACCCACTATTTAATTAATTTTAAGACCTGTGGTTTACAACTGGGAGATACCTTTTATTCTATTCATCCCTGAAGGCCGTAGACTAATATATCTCATATTAATGAAGTTAAAGTTTTCCAGAAAGCTTAGGAGTATTCTTATATTATGTTATGGGAAGCCAAAGCATCAGCAAAATTAGTTTTCACAGCACATATATTTTCCTGTGACATAATATGGAAAATTGTGTAAATGCATACATTAATTGCATGAAAAACATGAAATGATCTTTCAAACAAATGGGCATATCTTTATATATCCTATTTCTGGGTTTTTAGGCACTGCATAATAATAACTGACAGTAACCGCATGCTAGACACTATTCTAAATGCTTTATACATAGCATCTCATGTAACCTCGCCTGCAGCTCTACGTGAGAGAGGTACCTTTACTGTCCTCATTTTACAAATGAGGAGCTAAGGCACATGAAAACTCGGAAAACTGGCAAAAGTTACAGAGACATAATTGCCAGAACCAGGATTTAAAGTGAGTCAATGCAACTGTAGGACCTGTGCTTTTAACCACAGCTGTTTTTCTTGCCTTGTAAAATATTAAAGGTTCCTTGGCCCACACCGGAGTGCTTGAATTCTCTAAAGAAGTTTTCAAAAAAGCTATCCATCTCATCTGCGTAAACAGTGTGTGATGTATTTGGATTTTGCTATTGAGTATGCAGAGGCTAGGTTTGCTCTTTAGCCTTGAAGGACCTTAGGCAGAGGACTGATGAGAGTCTGTAAAGCCTGAGAGGTGGCCATATCTCTCCTCCTTGTTTAGCTGCACTCTTTTCTTTCCAGGTATTCAGGCATTCTCCTAAAACCCTAGCTCTGTTCATGTCAGTGTTCCCTTACTTAGTCCATTACCAACTAATGCTTCTAGATAAAACTTCAAAAAAAAAAAAAATAACATATTCTGTCCTATTTATTTAATTTTCAATATAATTAAATTGTTCAAAAAATCAACCATTTATGAAGCAATCACGTTCTTAAAAAAGCAGTTATCACTAATCTTGTTTAAGCCAAAAAATTAGATTAGAAAGCAAAATAAAATGAATTTTATATGATTCCATTCTCCGCCTGATCTACAGGGAATATAGTTCCCTGGGGGAGGGGTAGAAATATCACACTTTTCAAAATTAGATATTAATAACCCCAGGCTACAGTGATGGTCTGTGTGTGAGGGAATGTGAGTCCTAAAAGCCACAGATAAATACAATATACCTTCCAGATGCATGAATTGTAATACATAGTAATAATTTAAAACATATTTTATTTTAAAAAGATAGTGTGAAATCAGATGCAGCATTTACATGATTATTAAGGATAAAACAGAGACTTAAGATAAATTTTATGTTTTTACCTGTTAAAACCTACATATCTAAATCCCTCCCTCCTTTTCCCAAGGCAAAGTATTTAGGACTCCAGGGTGAGAATGACTTAATCAGGAATACATGGAAATTGAGAAATACAGATATTCTAAACTCTGATTTAATGAAATATATTTTGATACTGACAGCCTGACATGTGCCAGTTTCTAGTATCTAAACTTAGTTAATATTGTATTGAATTAGGTAGAAAAGGAGAAAACTATCTTACATCATCAACATTGGCCTTTGCAAGAATGATCCCTTTTGTTAAGAGCTGTGATGTTTTAGAGTTAAAAGAAAAACTAACAATCAGTTAGTCAACCTTTTCATTTTTCAAAGGAGGGTAAAGGTGAGGTGAAATGATATGATTCAAATTGTGGTGCACAATATGGATAGCGATGAAGTTAGTACTGGAAACCAGGTCTTCTGGTTCCCCTTTCAATCTCTTTCCATTGTAATATTACGAACTGAATTCTTATAATCGTAAATTGAAAGGCTTATGCACCCAAAGTTGCATGCTTCATTTTTTCTTTTGAAATCATTAGCTTCCAACTAAGAAAGGAAGTAGCCAGGAAAAGCAACTAGATGAAATTGTTGGAGGGAGGCTACACTAGAATAATCAGAGGAAAGCTTGCACCTCTATCGACTCTTGATGGCCAGACATGATTTACTAGATAAAAGAAACTGCTGGAAATAAGCCTTCAGTAATGTGATGGCGACATGTGCAAGGAGGAGAATGGAAGCATTTGCTTGTCCTATGATTGGGTTTCTCTCAGCCTTTTAGGGAGTCTATGGCTCTGGACTGTGAACTTTACAAGTGTTTCTAAGTGTTTATCTACCCTGCCTTAGGTGAGACAGGATGGCTGGAGTAAGCTAGGGTTGGGCATTTTCCTTCTCTCTGATAGGTTAATCTCTGATAAAAGCCCCAGCAGGTTAAGCTCTGGTTAAGTAGTTTCTCCTGAGGCCAAACCTCATTAATAATAAAATCTGGTATATTTTGAAATGGTTCTTCTTCCTCTCCCCCTGGCGGAAGCACTAGGAGAATTTTCTTTGTTATTTACTGTAAAAACCTAGGTGAGCTCCTGGAAGTAGAACTCACACACACACAAAGCCTGGGTGCCCCCATATGACTGGGTCCCATGGGAGTTTTTAACTCTCATCCTTTTCCACACTGAGCCTCCAGCATTTCATCAATTACAGCTCAGGTTTCCCCATGGTGACACTGGTTCTGTGGGTTTCTGCTCTGGTATGTTGTGATGCTCTGTATCTGCCTCTCTGTCTCTCTAATTCTGCAGCAGTGGTTTGCCCTGCGACCTCACTTCTTTTACAGATCTAAGAAGAGTTTTCAATGTTTCAGTTTGTTCAGCTTTTTATTTGTTGTTTGGACAGAGTGGTGACTTCCAAGCTGCTTACACACAGAACTAGGAACAGGAAGTCCACACCTCTGTCAACTCTTGATCTAGTTTGTCGAGTTTGGCCTCTGTCTGTGCAGACTTAAAGCAGTAACTTAATCTCTACGTATTTTCATTTCACCATTTGTAAAATAAAGCAGCTGAACTTGATATCACACTAGAACTTGATCAAAAGCCCAAGAAGCAACAATGTTTTGCCAATCCCTATGTTATCTTCCCTTTTTAAAATTCTGTAATGCTGTGATTACAAATAGCTTCCTAGTTCCTAAAAATTTGATGTTTTAAGCGTCTTACTATTTAAGGGTTTAAGAAAGGACATTTGCACAATAATATACGATATCCAAATTTAAATATAAAATATGCCCAAGAAAAGCAGATAAGGTCTGCAGTACCTCAGTGTCCATATAATGGCATTGAACAAATGGAAACAGATGGTCTGAGAGAATTAGACATATTCTTGTCTATTAACCACTCCTAAGAGATCATCCCTCAAATAAGAGTTTGTCTAATAACAGTTTTAGGTCTATGCATTATAGATGAAGACATTTGAAGACCAAAAGCATTCACATCTGTAGTTTTTAAATTTTAGGCATACTGAGAGTTGTCAGGAAAAATATTTCTGCTAGGGCCCTTTCACACCATATAGGTGATAACCTTATCTGCTTACATCCATGTGATGGTTTGGCCAAAGGCCACAGGTCCTTTTACAAAGCAGGGCCTACTTTTATTGTAACCAGCAAGAGCAGACAAAATATAATTTTCTGATTGGCAACTGTTCTTCTTTGGTTGGAAAAAGACCAGCATGTTCCAGAGGCATCAACTCTATCTTCAATGATCAGGTTAGCTAACATTTCTTTTTGGGATATTCTAGTTGTATCAGATGCAGCCAGAAAGACCAGTCTTTCTATGATTTATATTCCTTCACCCAATTGCCTCCTTTTAACCAGTTTTCATGATATAAATTAAGGATATGCCAGACAATAAATTACTAATTTGATCAATTAATCCATACCAGATAATTTGATTAGCCAAACGAATACTTGTTGAGTTCCTGCAATATCCTAGGTTCTGTGCATGCTAAACACCAGCATAAAAAGACTGTATGACACAATCCTTGTCTGACTCTTGCTCCAAGATTCATAAACACTGTTAGACCAGATAGATCTGTCTTCCCTATAGATCTGTCTTCCCTGTTACACCAGCTGGATTTGGACAACATGAGTTGCTGTGAGACCTAGACTTAGAGTAGAGGCCTAAGGAAGAATCTCTTCTGTTCTTCACTTGCTCCTCTGGTCCTCACCATTCTTCTTACATGGATAAAAGGAAAGAGACATTATTCCTTAAAACTTAAAGCAAAGGTGACCTATGCCATCCCCTATCTTTACATTGTTTTATTCTTCCAATGGAGGGGCACCTCTATGCAGGAAGTAGCTCTAGTTCCATTATACTACTTCATTGTCATGAGACAGAAACAAGTAGAGAAGAAGCAGCTGAGTATAAGAAGGAATATCATTTTTACATTTTATATTTTACTTAATTTTCTTTCTTCCACCAAACTTTGACTGCTATTATTAATGTCTTTAGTTTGTTCCTGGTACATGTCAGGTGTCAGTGGAAGAGGAGAGAGGAGAATAAAATATGAAATAAGGAGAAAGAGCAGAAGGAACTGTGGCCACTCAGAGGCACCTGGAACCTTCCTCCAGCTAAGACTAGTCTTTGTAGACCACAGTGTAGCATGCTCTGGAGGCAGCCTGAAAAAATCATGTAGCCAGCTTAAGGAAAAATGCCAGAAAAGTGATTAAGTTGATTCCTTCTTCCCCTTATATTCTAGACAGCACATTATTCATGCCGTTTCTGGCACCAAAGGATAAATTAGGCTGTCTGAATATTCTCGGCAGAAAAGAAGCTATAATAGCAAACTGAGTTATACAACATTCTGAACAAAATGCAATAAGGCATGTAATAGGCCAAATCAACTCCAAAGTTAAGCTTAAGAAAAAGTCCTCTGCTCTCAATTGTGTGTTTGTGTGGCATAATCTATTTTCTATTCTGGAATAAAGTCAAAGTGAGAGCAGCTTTGACATTATGAATCACCTGCATCAGAGTGAGCTCTATCACACAAACAATTTATTTTTCATAATAGGGTTTAAAGGAGGAATAAAACAAGCTATCACAGGAGACATGGTTGACTGATGAATTCATCATGATCACTACTTCTTAATTAATATTTATTGAACAAAAAATAATTGTACTGTTGAAATACATTGTGTCAACTAAGTAGTGTATAGCTGTGGATCAATAGTCACTTAAATAATAAATAAGGTTTTCTTGTTTTCTCACTCTAAGCCAAAATGTGGCTAACACAAAAATTGATCATCAAGATTTCTAAGTGGTTACCTCCATTTTTAGTCATACTTTAATTCAAATTCTAGTTGTTACATTTAAAAAGGGATGTGTTACATTTATGTGTGCTTATCTGTTTAGAAAAACTACACTTAAACCCTCACTCATTAAACCTAGACTCTCAATTCATTTTATACATACAGTGGATTTCATGCTTCATAATCAAATCAGCCTCAACACTTTTAATAGTTACTCTCCAAAAAGAAAATACAAAAAAACCTAAAACAAAGTTAAAATACATGTTTTGTGGGCAACCACATTTGGGAATTTAATCTTGCTGTCATCACTAATGAGAATACACCATTAGGATGTAGGTGGCTTTTCATAGCTTCTTTTGGTAGCATGTTGTAAAAACAGGAAAAAGAATAGCAAGGAGAGAAAAGTTGATAGTAAGTTCATTTTTAATGCAGAGTTCACACTTTACTCTTTAATGTTTTGCTTAAGATGATAGAAAAACCCTATAGAATTTCATGGAAATTCTTTTGGAGGGCAATTACCTGAGGTCTGTGTAGGAAGAGCAGATGTGGAACAGCTTGTGATGACCATCAAGTACTTTTTTTCATTATTTTGTCACCACATGACTTGATACTAGAAAGTGGTAGACATTTTGAAAAAAAAGTATAGTTAAAAGCATTTCAAAAAAGGAATCTGTAAAATCAGCAATAGACAGCAATGGAATTGATACTATATAAAACTCAGCTGCAGACTTGCATGTTTAATCGAACAAATATCTCAGATGCACCATATCCCTAAAATGAATGTGTCATATTTCCCAGAAAAAAAAAAAAACACAACTGCCTCTTCTCATAAATTGCCTCTCAACTACACTATCTACTCAGCCCAGAACTTTAGACACTACCATCAGTTCTACCCTCCCTCTCATGCCCTACATCCAAGCAATCACCAAACCTTAGAAAACAAACTACTTCCCCAAAGCTTTGGGCTCTACCCACTTGCCTCAATTTCTACCATGTCTACCCAAATAAAGCCATGATCTCTCTACTGGATTATTAAAGTAATTACTTCACTGGTGCTCCTCTTACTGTTCTAGTTTTATTCCACTAATCCATTCTCCACACTATAATTAGAGTGATCTTTTTGAAACGCAAATTTGATTCTTTCAGTCACCTGCTTAAAACCCTATGCTCTTAGAATGGAATAAAATCTTCCTACTAGATCCTTCCTAACATGGCCTCATCTTCTTCCCCAGGCTCATCTTTCACCACCACCACACTCTTTTATTACAACCTACCCATACTATAAAGCTTCTAGGTCATTGAACATGCTGTGAGCTGTATTTCACTACCGAAAATTGGCCAGGATTTTATCTGTATCTCTAATATTTTAACAGCCTGTTATATAAAAATCTTCCTTTTCCTATCCTGTCTGAACCAGGATGAATTGGGTAGAAAAACCCTAATGTAAACATAGGGATAGCATTTTTTTTCTATTATTGGGCCACTTTGCTTAAACATTACATGCAATTTGCATATGAGCCAGAGGGAGGTTCCAAGATGGCCAAATAGGAACAGCTCCAGTCTGCAGCTCCCAGGGTAAGTGATGCAGAAGACAAGTGATTTCTGCATTTCCAACTGAGGTACCAGGTTCATCTCACTGGGGCTTGTCAGACAGTAGGTGCAGCCCATAGAGCAGGGCAGGGCATCACCTCACCTGGGAAGCACAAGGGGTCAGGGAATTCCCTTTCCTAGCAGAGGGAAGCCATGACTGATGATACCTGGAAAATCAGGACACTCCCACCCTAATACTGTTCTTTTCCAATGGTCTTAGCGAATGGCACACCAGGAGATTATATCCCACGCATGGCTCGGAGGGTCCCAAGCCCATGGAGCCTTGCTCACTGCTAGCACAGCAGTCTGAGATTGAACTGCAAGGCAGCAGTGAGGCTGGGGGAGGGGCATCCACCTTTGTTGAGGATTGAGTAGGTAAACAAAGCGGCCAGGAAGCTCAAATTGGGTGGAGCCCACCACAGCTCAAGGAGGCCTGCCTGTTTCTGTAGACTCCACCTCTGGGGGCAGGGCATAGTTGAACAAAAGGCAGCAGAAACTTCTGCAAACTTAAACGTCCCTGTCTGATAGCTTTGAAGAGAGTAGTGCTTCTCCCAGCACGGAGTTTGAGATCTCAGAACAGACAGACTGCCTCCTCAAGTGGGTCCCAGACCCCTGAGTAGCCTAAGTGGGAGAAAAAATCCCAGTAAGGACAGACTGACACCTCATACATCTGGGTGCCCCTCTGAGACAAAGCTTCCAGAAGAAGGATCAGACAGCAACATTTGCCGTTCTGCAATATTTGCTGTTCTGCAGCCTCCGCTGGTGATACCCAGGCAAAGAGTGTCTGGAGTGGACCTCCAGCAAACTCCAACAGACCTGCAGCTGAGGGTCCTGACTGTTAGAAGGAAAACTAACAAACAGAAAGGACATCCACCCAAAACCCCATCTCTACATCACCATCATCAAAGACCAAAGGTAGATAAAACCACAAAGATGAGAATTTTCAGCAGAAAAGCTGAAAATTCTAAAAATCAGAGTGCCTCTTCTCCTCCAAAGGAATGCATCTCCTTGCCAGCAACAGAACAAAGTTGGACGGAGAATGACTTTGACGAGTTGAGAGAAGAAGGCTTCAGACGATCGGTAATAACAAATTTCTCTGAGCTAAAGAGGATGTTCGAACCCTTGGCAAAGAAGCTAAAAACCTTGAAAAAAGATTAGGTGAATGGTTAACTAGAATAACCAATGTAGAGAAGGCCTTAAATGACCTGATGGAGCTGAAAACCATGGCATAAGAACTACGTGACACATGCACAAGCTTCAGTAGCCGATTTGATCAACTGGAAGAAAGAGTATCAGTGATTGAAAATCAAATGAATGAAATGAAGTGAAAAGAGAAGTTTAGAGAAAAAAGAGTAAAAAGAAATGAACAAAGCCTCCAAGAAATATGGGACTATGTGAAAGGACCAAATCTATGTCCGATTGGTGTACCTGAAAGTGATGGGGAGAATGGAACCAAGTTGGACAACACTCTTCAGGATATTATCCAGGAGAACTTCCCCAGTCTAGCAAGGCAGGCCAACATTCAAATTCAGGAAATACAGAGAACACCACAAAGATACTCCTCAAGAAGAGCAACTCCAAGACACATAATCATCAGATTCACCGAAGTTGAAATGAAGGAAAAAATGTTAAGGGCAGCCAGAAAGAAAGGTCGGGTTACCTACAAAGGGAAGCCCATCAGACTAACAGTGGATCTCCTGGCAGAAACTCTATAAGCCAGAAGAGAGTGGGGGCCAATATTCAACATTCTTAAAGAAAAGAATTTTCAACCTGGAATTTCATATCCAGCCAAACTAAGCTTCCTAAGTGAAGGAGAAATAAAATCCCTTACAGACAAGCAAATGCTGAGAGATTTTGTCACCACCAGGCCTGCCTTACAAGAGCACCTGAAGGAAGCACTAAACATGGAAAGGAACAACTGGTACCAGCCACTGCAAAAACATGCCAAATTGTAAAGACCATCAATGCTAGGAAGAAACTGCATCAACTAATGAGCAAAAGAACCATCTAACATCATAATGACAGTGTCAAATTCACACATAACAATATTAACCTTAAATGTAAATGGGCTAAATGCTCCAATTAAAAGACACAGACTGGCAAATAGGATAAAGAGTCAAGACCCATCAGTGTGCTGTATTCAGGCGACCCATCTCACGTGCAGAGACACATATAGGCTCACAATAAAGGGATGGAGGAAGATCTACCAAGCAAATGGAAAACAAAAAAAGGCAGGGGTTGCAATCCTAGTCTCTGATAAAACAGACTTTAGACTAACAAAGATCAAAAGAGACAAAGAAGGCCATTACATATTGGTAAAGGGATCAATTCAACAAGAAGAGCTAACTATCCTAAATATATATGCACCCAATACAGGAGCACCCACATTCATAAAGCAAGTCCTTAGAGACCTACAAAGAGACTTAGATTCCCACACAATAATAATGGGATATTTTAACACCCCACTGTCAACATTAGACAGATCAATGAGACAGAAAATTAACAAGGATATTCAGGCCTTGAACTCCACTCTGGATCAAGTGGACCTAATAGACATCTACAGAACTCTTCACCCCAAATCAACAGAATATACATTCTTCTCAGCACCACATCACACTTATTCCAAAATTGACCACATTGTTTGAAGTAAAGCACTCCTCAGCAAATGTAAAAGAACAGAAATTATAACAAACTGTCTCTCAGACCACAGTGCAATCAAACTAGAGCTCAGGATTAAGAAACTCACTCGAAATGCTCAACTACATGGAAACTGAACAACCTGCTCCTGAATGACTACTAGGTACATAACAAAATGAAGGCAGAAATAAAGATGTTCTTTGAAACCAATGAGAACAAGGACACAATGTACCAGAATCTCTGGGACACATTTAAAGCAGTGTGTAGAGGGAAATTTATAGCACTAAATGCCCACAAGAGAAAGCAGGAAAGTTCTAAAATTTATATATGAGCCAGGAGCTTATTTGAACCAGCCTCACTGATGAGCTGTTAAATTCAAACAATTATAGGGTATGAATCAAAAATAAATGTAATTTTCATCACTGCTGTCTTCTCTCAGGGGGCACTCACAAGAGATTCACTTACGACCACCAATTCTACTCATTTCCCCAATTCACTCATCACCAAAAACCTACAGGCAAAACATTTAATATTCTTTTGTTTCCATAGCCCCACTTTCTCTAAGCTCTGAACTGTGTGAGTAAATCTGACCTCTCTGGGCTTCTTTTAAGTTCACTTGCTTCACTCATTGTTCTAATTCTCTACAAAATGCATGCTCAAGGATTTAATGGAACAAGAATGTGAATTGGAAACGGGGAAATTCTGAAGATGCACATTAAGAACTTTTCTCCACTGCATATTTATATTTTTGTCTGTTACATACATATCACAGTGTTTCAGTGGTGCAATCACAATGTTTTTGTTGAGGAAAATATCAAAGAGCTGTCTAAAATATCAATGGAATGTCAAGAGAACTGATTTAAACTTTATTTTGCTGAAAAATACACGAACAACAAAATGGAAGAAGGCGCTGACAAATACGAAAGAGTGACACTCAACTGAAAAAAAGATTATAAATAAGGTGCAAGATCTCAGTGAGCTGAGATCTGCCTTAATATTAAGGGAAATAGCAAACATTTCTACTATAAAATTTGTTTCCTTCCCTCAGCTTAAAAATTATGCTTATCTATTACTTTGGAGCCCACATGGTAGATAGACAAACTCAATATCTGTTCTAACAGATATTGACAGTGTTTACCTGTTCCTCCTTGAGTGTTTACCTTTGCTGCAGAAGCTGGAAAGTAATAACTACATTTCCTAGGTTCCCTTGCAGCTAAACTTCAGAATGATTTAGGTTCTACCAGTCAGATACTCTTTTGTGAAGCTTGAATGTAGAACAGAGGACAAGTATACATATTATAGTATTATTTTTTAAAGCCTAGTCTAGTGATATTTTATGCTGCCAGTCCATTATACTTTTGCTCCCATTCTTATTTATACTACTTTTCATTTGCATATTTTTGTAAGCCACCTTAAGAACTTTCAAGAACAGTCAATGTTGAACATGTACTTTTAGATAATTTTGAACACTCTTATGTCCAATAATATTATCAAAAATCTTCTCCAAGAGCATTATATAAAAGTTTTTAAACTCTTGGCTAGTCTGATGCTTAGAAAAAGCCATCTCATTGTGTTTTAATTTATATTTACCTAGTTTTTGAAGGTGTTGATTTTTTTAATGCTTTTTAGAAGTTTATGGACCTTCTTTGGAAAAATTAAAATTCATGCCTACTGGAGTTTGAATTCATCCCCCAAAGCTTATTTGTTAGAAACTTAATCCCCAATGCATCAGTATTGAGAGATGGGACCTTTAAGATGTGATTAGGTCATGAAAACTCTGACCTCATGAATAAATTAATGTTCTTATTGCAGAAGTGGATTTGTTATCATTAAAATGGGTTTATTATAAAAGGGAGTTCAGCCCTCTCACAGATAGTTTCTCCCCATTAAATGCCTTCCACCATGGGATAACACAGCACAAAGGTCCTCACCAGATGCCAGCACCTTGATATGAGACTTCCCAGGCTCCCAAATTGTGAGAAATTTTTTTCTTCATGAATTACCCAGTGATATGGTCTGGCTTTGTGTCCCCATCCAGATCTCATCTTGAATTGTACTCCCATAATTCCCACGTGTTGTGGGAGGGACCCAGTGGGCGATAATTTGAACTATGGGGGCAGTTTCCCTCATGCTGTCTTCATGGTAGTGAATAAGTCTCATGAGATCTGATGGTTTTATCAGGGGTTTCTACTTTTGCTTCTCCCATTTTCTCTTGTCACCATTATGTAAGAAGGGCCTTTAGCCTCCCGCCATGATTCTGAAGCCTCCCCAGCCATGTGGAACTGTAAGTCCAATTAAACCTCTTTTTCTTCCCAGTCTTGCATATGTCTTCATCAGCAGCACGAAAACGGAGTAACACACCCAGTCTGTGGTATTTTGTTATAGCAACACAAAACAGACTAAGACAATGTCCTTTGTTCATTTATCTATTAAGACTTTATATTAAAACATATTGTCATTATTTGGAGGATATTATTTATTACTTTTTCATTGCATGTATCTTTCTAATATATTTGTTAGATTTTAACAGTATCTGGGTTATTGTTCTTGTTTTTTTCTTAACTGTGTTGAAAGTAGTTCATTGGGAGCCAAGGCAACATGGGAAGTCATATGGTTAAATACAACAATGAAAGCACATAAAGCAGAATTGTTCAACACTTAGACATTATTTAGATATTTCATTTTTGAAAGATAGAGTGAACACTGAAAAAATTAACTCAAGCCTTAAAAGGTGAGGAAGAAAACTTAAAACAAGTTGTGAATCAAGTATTACCACATAACTGCATTTAGTAATGTTTTAAAGGCTGTGAAGGAAAAGAGAGACAATAAAAGCCTAGAAATGAGAACATATTGTTTCCATGTCCAGAGAATGAGAAAAAGATAGATGTAAAAACTATACAGTCAGCTTGATATTATATCCTGAAAAAATCCTAGCCCTGCTAACTAAACAGATGATTTGTAAATATTTAAGAAGAGTGATCTGAGAGAACTATGACATTCCTAAATTGGTATATTTTCCTCTCTGCTCAGATAACAAACAGCAGATCAGGAAATTCTACCTTGTTGCATTTCAGCAGAATATTTGATAAATCTCTCATATATCATCGCTGTCAGGAAAAATGAGTATGGACTGCTGGGATAATTTGTAGCTGGCTAAACAATATTTCCCCCCAAATTTGATCATTTGAACTAAGAGAAGTTTCTTTAAGTGGCGTTGTCAAACTTTTTAGGTTGGAACTTAAAATAGAACATATGAAACAAATTTGAGTATGCATGCTTTTTATTTATTCATATATAAATTATTTACATACTTGAAATTATTTTAATAAAAATTTCATATATTTATCATGTAAAAATGATATTTTGAAATATGTATACATTGTGGAATGGCTCAGTTGAGAAAAGTAACTGATGTATTACCTAATATTCTTATTCATTTTTTTTGTGGTGCAAACACTTAAAATGTTTTCTCTTTGAGATTTTCAATAAAATATACTGTTGTTAACTACAATCATCATGTTTTATAATTATTCCTCCTATCTAATTATAATTTTGTATAGTTTAACTAACATCTCCCTAACCCCACCCCTCAAAAATGCCCAGGCTTTTGTAACTACCATTCTACTATCTAATTCTATGACATCCATTTGTTTGAATTACACATATAAGTCAGATAATATGATATTTGTCTTTCTGTGCCTGGCTTATGTCACTAAACATAATGTCCATGTTGGTGCAAATGTAGGATTTCCCTTAATTAAGTCTCAGTAGTATTCCATTTTCTTTAACCACTCATCTGTTGCTGGACACTTAGGTTGATTCCATATCTTGGCTATTGTGAGTAATGCTGCAGTGAGCATGGGTGTGCAGATATCTCATAGGTATATTGATTTTATTTCCTTTGGACATATACCCAGAAATGGGATTACTGGATTATATAATAGGTCTATTTTTCTTAAAGGACAGGGACTTGTTCTGTCACCCATGATGGAGTGCAGTAGTGCAATCATAGCTCACTGCAGCCCTGAACTCCTGGGTCCAAGTGATCCTCTCACCTCAGCCTCTCAACTAGCTGGGACTGCAGATGCACATCTAATAATTTCTATTTCTATTTTTATTTATTTTATTTTTTGTAGAGGTAGGATCTTGCTCAAATGGGTCTCAGGCTGCTAGGCTCAAATAATGCTCCCAACTCTGCCTCCTAAAGTGCTGGGATTACAGGTATGAGACACCATGCCCAGTCCAATAAAATAATTCTATTTTTTAATTATTGAGGAACTTTTTACTGTTTTCCATAATAGCTGTATCATCAGATGAGGATCCCTCCAAATTTTATAATTTTTTTATTTCTTTGAAAAATATTGAGTTCAGGCACAGTGGCTCATGCCTGTATCCCAGTGCTTTGGGAGGCTGACGTGGGAGCATCAGTTGAGGCTAGGAGTTTGAAACCAGCCTGGACAACATCACAAGATCCTATTTCAAAAAAAAAACAAAAAACAAAAAACAAAAAAAAAAAAACGTAAATTACCAGCTAGGCATGGTGGTGCATATCTGTAGTCCTAGCTACTAGGGATGCTGGGGAGGAAGCATTGCTTGAGCCTGGGATACAGAGCAAGACTTTATGTCAGAAAGAAAGAAAGCAAGAAAGAGAAAGCAAGCAAGCAAGCAAGCAAGAAAAAGCACGCAAGCCAGAAAGAAAAATAAAGAAAGGAAAGGAAGAAAGAAAAAAGGAAAGAAAGAAGGAAGGAAAGAAAGAAAAGAAAGAAAGAAAGAAAGGTGGAGAGGGAGGGATGGAGAGAGAGAGGGAGGGAATGAAGGAAAAGAAAGAAAGAGAAGTTATTGGAATTTTGATGTAGTTTTCATTGAATCTGTAGAACTGTTTGGGTAGTATGGACATTTTAACACTATTAATTCTTCCAATCCATGAACATGGGATATCTTTCCATTCATTTGTGTCTTCTTTAACTTCTTTCAGCAATGTTTTATAATTTTGAGTGTACAGATCTTCCACTTTCTTAGTTAAATGTATTTCTGAGTGATTTTTTGTAGATATTGTAAATGGGATTGTTTCTACAATTGCTTTTTCAGATAGTTTATTGGTAGGGTGTAGAAACACTATTGATTTTTGTATGTTAATTTTGTATCTTTCAACTTCACTGAATTTATTTTTTAGTTCTAACAGTTTTTTAGTGGAGTCTTTAGCATTTTCTATATATAAAATCATGTTCTCTCTAAAATTTATCTTTTCTTTTTCAATTTGGATGACTTTTATTTATTTCTCTTGCCAAATTGCTGTGGCTAGAATATCCAGTACTATGTTGAATAGAAGTTAGAAAAGTAGTCATCCTTGTCTTATTTCTGATTTTAGAGAAGCACTTTTAACTTTTCACTGTTGCATATGTTAGCTGTGGGTTTGTCTTATATGGCCATTACTGTATTGAGGCACATTCCTCCTATACCCAATTTGTTGAAAGTTTTTATCATTAAATAATATTGAACTTTGTAAAATGCTTTTCCAGCATCAATTGTGATAATTATAGGCTTTTTGTCCTTCATTCTGTTAATGTGATGTATCATATTTAAAGATTTGGATATGTTGAACCATCCCTGCTTCCCTGGGATAAATCTTCCTTCGTCATAATGAATAATCTTTTTAATGTGCTATTGAATTCAGTTTAGTAATCTTTATTGAGGATTTTTGCAATCACGTTAATCAGAGATATTTATCAGTAATTTATTTTTCTTATAGTATCATTGTCTGGTTTTGGTATTATAATAAAGCTGTCCTCATAAAATGGGTTTGAAAGTATTCACTCTTCAATATTTTGGAAGAGTTTGAGATGAACTGACATTAGTTCTTTAAATGTTTGGAAAATTCAATAGTGATGCCATCAGATTCTTGGCTCTTCTTGGATGGGAGACTATTTATTACTGATTAAATCTCCTTGCTCATTATTTGTTCAAATTTTGTATTTCTTCATGATTCAGTCGTGGTATGTTGTATATGTCTATAAATTTATATATTTTTTAGATTATCCATTTTTGTCATCTAATTGTTTATAGTGGTCTCTTCATATTTCTGTATCAGTTGTAATGTTTCTCTTTTATTTTTTTTTTATTTATTTGTCTTCTCTTTATTAGCCTAGCTGTCATTTTTATCTTTTTGAAAAACTCCATTTCACAGATCTTTTCTATTGTTTTTCTAGTCTGTATTTTATTTCTGAACTGATATTTTTATTTGTTTCCTTCTACTAACCTTGGGCTTAGTTTGTTCTTCTTTTTCAAGTTTTTTGAGGTAAAATGTCAGGTTGTTTATTTAGGATTTTAGTTATTTTTTTATGTAGTCAGGCATTTATTGCAATAAAAGTCCCTCTAAGAACTGCTTTTGCTGCATCCCATAAGTTTCGGCATATTGTGTCACCATTTTTGTTTGTCTCAAGATATTTTTAAATTTCTTCTTTAAATTTCTTCTTATACCCATTGGTTGTTCAGGAGCGTGTTGTCACCCAAGACTGCCTTGTATACAAATTCCCCTGAGTAAATCTTTGACCACTTACAAACCTGGAGCAGTCTGCCTTATTTTTAGGTCTGATCTTGTCTTGCACGTATAGAGGGTGATTTTCTATTCCAGAAGGTAGTTTTTCCAACACACGAAGGTAACATAACAGACTAGTTATAACAGACTGTTTTAAGATAACAACAACATAACTTTAATCTCATTAAAAATTCAACATGTTTTACTTCTCCTCACATTTTCCCTTATTTTATTATATTTCATTTATTTTTAAAGACACTTTTAATAAAAAAGCTCATCAGGAGGGTGAAACACAAATTTATCAGTTAAGTAACGACTTCTACGTAGCACTACATTTAGGATAATTAACAGAAGGGCCATGAGCAAACTTATCATTTATATATTAAGCATTATATTTTACATTCAGCAAACTTCATGAAATGTCCTTTAATTTCATAGACAACAATATGATACATATTGTATAAGAAGCACACAATAGTTTTGCAGTAAAGTTTCAAAGCGTACGCAAATTGGAAAACAGAAGTTAAACACTAGTAAACTGACAGTATTTTTGAACTTCATATAAGCTGCATACAAAATTTACAATTCAAATATTAGCAAATCTGAAAACTTTACTTCTTATAAAAATGATACTTTGACATGCATTTTTAATTAAATAAATTATAAAAACATTTAAAATGATCATTAAAAACAATGTTAGAATTTATAAACACCAGTTATAAAAATATTTTAGTAGTCACTTTTCTTCTAAGGGTACCATGAAGTATAACACAAAATAGTCTCTAACATAAAATTGCCTTAATAAGCGTACTATTTTAGATTCTGATAAATCTTACATTAAATTTATTATAAAATCTTCTTGAGGGGTGGGGCCAAGATGGCCGACTAGAAAAAGAGGCGATCTGAGGATCCCATCGAAAAGAACCATAATAAGCGTGTGAATCCTTCACCGGCAACCAAGGTATCTGGGTTGTCTCATCAGAACTGACTAGGAGGCTGGTGTGATCCACAGAGAGGAAGAAAGAGCAGTGTGGTGTGGTGGCCCACCTGAGAGTCACACAGAGCAGGAGAGTCCCCACCCCCCAACCAAGGAAGGGGATGAGTTAACGTGCTACCCAGCCAGGCAAACCCACTCATGAGTAGACACCACCAGCGCCCAGCATCCCAACCACAGAGCTGCGCAGATTCTCAACAGACTCTCAGCTGGAATCTGCTTAAGCCTACCGCACTCCCAGAGGGAGAGGCAACCAGCACTACAGCTGCAGCTGTCTGCTGTCTAAACTGTTTTAGCTCCTTGGGGAGGGCAGCAGCCAGCACTGGGACTCAAAACTGCCTAACACGCTAAGCTCCTCGGGTGGAGGAAGGGTAGCATCCATCTCTATAGCTCCAGGCTGCACTTTTCCCCTGCCGAAGGCAGGGAGGCTGGACCACTTGGTCCCATCGAAGGCCTTTTCTGCATCTATTGAGATACTCATGTGGTTTTTGTCATTGATTCTGTTTATGTGATGGATTTTTGCATTGATGTTTATCAGGGATATTGGCCTGAAATTTTCTTTTTTTGTTGTGTCTCTGCCAGGTTTTGGTATCAGGATGATACTGCCCTCATAAAATGAGTTAGGGAGGAATCCCTCTTTTTCTATTGTTTGGAATAGTTTCAGAAGGAATGGTACCAGCATCTCTTTGTACCTCTCATAGAATTCGGCTGTGAATCAGTCTGGTCCTGGGCTTTTTTGGTTGGTAGGCTATTAATTACTGCCTCAATTTCAAAGCCTGTTATTGGCCTGTTCAGGGATTCAACTTCTTCCTGGTTTAGTCTTGGGAGGGTGTATGTTTCCAGGAATTTCTCCATTTCTTCTAGATTTTCTAGTTTATTTGCATAGAGGTGTTTATGGTAGTCTCTGATGGCAGTTTGTATTTCTGTGGGATCAGTGGTGATATCCCCTTTATCAATTTTTTTGTCTATTTGATTCTTCTCTCTTTTCTTCTTTATTAGTCTGGTTAGCAGTCTATCTATTTTGTTAATCTTTTCAAAAAACCAGCCCCAGGATTCATTGATTTTTTAAAGTGTTTTATTTTTGTGTGTGTGTCTCTATCTCCTTCAGCTCTGCTCTGATCTTAGTTATTTCCTATCTTCGTCCCAAGACATGTCCTCCACAGCCCAACACACTGTCTGTGGCAGACTGTGGCCACGGTGTCTCTTAAGGCCTGACCCTAACTCATCCTTCCTCACTGGGTGGGGCTTCTCTGCAGGAACTGCAATAACCCCAGCCAGAGGCTCAGGGACAGAACCCCGATCTCCTTGGTCCTGAGTCCCTAAGGTGAGGGGGACCCACAGTCTCCCTTTCCTCCTGGTAGTTCTGAGGAATCTGGGCAGCCCAGATGAATGGGTTTCCCCCAGTGAGGCACACCGCTTCCACCAAGTGGCAAAGTGCTTTGTTAAACGAGTCCTGTTCCACAAGCCACTCAACTGTGTGAGACCCTCTAACAAGGGTTGTCAGACACCCTATACAGGAGTGATTCTACTTGCAACAAGTTAGGCCCCATCAAGGTCAGATATCCCAGAAGAAGGAGCAGGCACCCATCTTTGCTGTTCTTCAGCCTCTTTGAGTGACATCTCCAGGTGCGGGAGCAAACCAGATAAACAGGACCTAAAGTGAACCCCTAGCAAACTGAAGCAGCCCCACAGAAGAGGGACCTGAAAATCAAACAAACAGAAAGCAACAACAGCATCAACAACAACAAAAAAGCCCCCACAAAAACTCCATTCAAGGGTCAGCAGCCTCAAAGATCGAAACTAGACAAATTCATGAAGATGAGAAAGAATTAATGAAAAGATATTGACAACCCAAAAGGCCAGAATGACTCTTCTCCTACAAATGATCACAGTGTCTCTCTAGCAAGGGTGCAGAACTGGATGGAAGATGAGTTGGATGAATAGACAGAGTAGGCTTCAGAAGATGGGTAATAAAAAACTACAATGATCTAACGGAGCATGTTCTAACCCAATGCAAGGAAGCTAAGAAACTTGATAAAAAGCTAGAGGGGCTGCTAACTAGAATAACTAGTTTAGAGAGAAACATAAATGACCTGATGGAGCTGAAAAACACAGCACGGGAACTTTGTGAAGCATTCCCAAGTATCAATAGCTGAATCAACCAAGCAGAAAAAAGTATATGTGATTTTGAAGACCACCTTGCTGAAATAAGGAATGCAGACAAGACTAGAGAAAAAATGATAAAGAGGAATGAACAAACACTCCAAGAAATATTGGACTTATTAAAAAGACCAAACCAACGATTGATTGGGGTACATGAAGGAGACGCGGAGAATGGAAACAAGCTGGAAAACACACTTCAGGATACTATCCAGGAGAACTTTCCCAACTTAGCAAGACAGGCCAACATGCAAATTCAGGAAATACAGAGACCACTAAGATACTCCACGAGAAGATCAACCCCAAGACACATAATCATCAGATTCTCCAAGGTTGAAATGAAGGAAAAAATGTTAAGGGCAGCCAGAGAGAAAGGTCAGGCCACCTTCAAAGGGAAGCCCATCAGACTAACAGCAGACTTCTCAACAGAAACTCTACAAGCCAGAAGATATTGGCAGCCAATATTTACCATTCTTAAAGAAAATAATTTTCAACCCAGAATTTCATACCCAGCCAAACTAAGCTTCATATGAAGGAAGCACTAAGTATGTAAAGGAAAAACTGGTACCAGCTACTACAAAAACACACCAAAATATAAAGACCAATGACACTATGAAGAAACTGCATGAACTAGTGTACAAAATAACCAGATAGCATCATGATAACAGGACCAAATTCACACATAACAATACTAACCTTAAATGTAAATGGGCTAAATGCTTCAATTAAAATACACAGACTGGCAAATTGGTGTGTTGTATTCAAGAGTCCCATCTCATGTGCAAAGACACACATGGCCCAAAATGAAGGGATGGAGGAAAATTTACCAAGAAAATGGAAAATAAAATCCTAGTTGCAATCCTAGTCTCTGACAAAACAGACTTTAAACCAACAAAGATCAAAAAAGACAAAGAAGAGGATTACCTAATGGTAAAGGGAACAATTCAACAAGAAGAGCTAACTATTCTAAATATATATGCATCCAATACAGGAGCACCCCGATTCATAAAACAAGTTTTTAGAGATGTATAATAGACTCCCACACAATAATATTGGGAGACTTTAACACCCCACTGTCAATATTAGACAGATCAATGAGACAGAAAATTAACAAGGACATTCAGGCCTTGGACTCAGCTCTAGATCGAGTGGACCTAATAGACATCTACAGAACTCTTCACCCCAAATCAACAGAATATACATTTTTCTCAGTGACACATAGCACTTATTCTAAAATTGACCACATAATTGGAAGTAAAACACTCCTCAGCAAATGCAAAAGAACTGAAATAATAAAAACAGTCTCAGACCACAGTGCAATCAAATTAGAATTCTAGATTAAGAAACTCACTCAAAACCACACAATTACATGGAAATTGACCAATGTGCTCCTGAATGTAAATAATGAAATTAAGGTAAAAATCAAGAAGTTCTTTGAAACCAATGAGAACAAAGAAACAATGTACCAGAATCTCTGGGACACAGCTAAAACAGTGTTAAGAGGGAAATTTATGGCACTAAATAGACAGCTATAAAGATCTCAAATTGACACCCTAATACAGCAATTAAAAGAGCTAGAGGGGCAAGAACAAACTAATTCAAAAGCTAGCAGAAAACAAGAAATAACTAAGATTAGAGCAGAATTGAAGGAGATAGAGACAGAGAAAAGCCCTCCAAAAAATCAAGGAATCCAGGAGCTGATTTTTTTTTTTTTTGGAAAATTTAACAAAATAGACTGCTAGCTAGACTAATAAAGAAGAGAGAAGAATCAAATAGACACAATAAAAAAATGATAAAGAGGATATCACCACTGACCTCACAGAAATACAAACTACCATCAGAAAATACTATAAATACCTCTATGCAAATAAGCTAGAAAATTTAGAAGAAATGGATAAATTCCTGGACACATACACCCTCTCAAGACTAAACCAGGAAGACATTGAATCCATGAATAGACTTATAAAAAGTTCTGAAATTAATAGCCTACCAACCAAAAAAAGCACAGGACCAGAGAGATTGACATTCGAATTTTCCTGGAGGTACAAAGAGGGAGCTGGCACCATTCCTTCTGAAACTATTCCAAAAAATTGAAAAGGAGGGACTCCTCCCTAACATTTTATGAAGCCAGCATTTTCCTGATACCAAAACCTGGTAGAGACACAACAAAGAAAAGAAAACTTCAGATCAATATTCCTCATGAACATTGATGCAAAAATCCTCAATAAAACATTGGCAAAGTGAATCCAGCAGCACATCAAAAAACTTATCCATCACAATCAAGTCAGCTTCATCCCTGGGATGCAAGGCTGATTCAACATGTGTAAATCAATAAACATAATCCATCATATAAACAGAACCAAAGACAAAAACCATATGATTATGTCAATAGATGCAGAAAAGGCCTTTGATAAAATTCAACATCATTTCATGTTAGAAACTCTCAATAAGCTAGTTATTGATGGAAAATATCTCAAAATAATAAGAGCTACTTATGACAAACCCACAGCCAATATCATATTGAGTGGGCAAAAGCTGGAAGCATTCTCATTGAAAACCATTACAAGACCAGGATGCCCTCTCTCACTACTCCTATTTAATGTAGTATGGGAAATTCTGGTGAGGGCTCTCAGGCAAGAGAAAGACACAAAGGTTATTCAAATAGGAAGAGAGGAAGTCAAATTGTCTCTGTTAGCAGATGACATGATTTTATATTTAGAAAACCCCATCATCTCAACCCAAAAACTCCTTAAACTAATAAGCAACTTCAGCAAAGTCTCAGAATACAAAATCAATGTGCAAAAATGACAAGCATTCCTTTACACCAACAATAGACAAGCAGAGAACCAAATCATGAATAAAACCACATTCACAATTTCCACAAAAAGAATAAATACCTAGGAATACAGCTAACAAGGGATGTAAAGGACTTCTTCAACAACTACATACCACTGTTCAAGGAAATAAGAGAGGGCACAAACAAATGGCAAAACATGCGATCCTCATGGATAGGAAGAATCAATATCCTGAAAATGGCCATACGGCCCAGAGTAATTTATAGATGCAATGCTATTCCCATTAAACTACCATTGACATTCTTCACAGAATTAGAACAAACCACATTAAATTTTATATGGAATCAAAGAAGACCCCATATAGCTAAGATAATTCTAAGCAAAAAGAACAAAGCTGGAAGCATCATGCCACCTGACTTCAAACTATACTCCAAGGCTACAGTAACTTAAACATCATGGTACTGGTACAAAAACAGGCATATAGAGCAGTGGAACAGAACAGAGACCTCAGAAATAACACTGCACCTCTACAACCATCTGATCTTAGACAAACCTGACAAAAGCAAGCAATGGGGAAAGGATTCCCTATTCAATAAATGGTGCTGGGAAAACTGGCCAGCCATATGCAGAAAACTGAAACTGGACCCCTTCCTTACACCTTGTACAAAAATTAACTCAAGATGGATTGAAGACTTAAATGTAAAACCCCAAACCCTAAAAATCCTAGAAGAAAACCTAGGCAATACCATTTAGGACACAGGCATGGGCAAAGACTTCACGATGAAAACGCCAAAAGCAAATGCAACAAAAGTCAAAATTGACAAATGAGATCTAATTAAACTAAAGAGCTTCTGCTCAGCAAAATAAACTATCATGTGAATGAACAGGCAACCTAAAAATGGGAGAAAATTTTTACAATCTACCCATCTGACAAAGGTCTACTATCCAGAATTTACAAGGAACTTAAATTTACAAGAAAAAAATAAAAAACCCTGTGAAAAAATGGGCAAAAGATATGAACAGACACTTCTCAAAAGAAGACATTTATGTGGCCAAAAAAATGAAAGAAGCTCAACATCACTGATCATTAGAGAAATGCAAATCAAAACCGCAATGAAATACCATCCCATGCCAATCAGAATGTCAATTATTAAAAAGCCAAGGAACAATATATGATGGTGAGGCTGTGGAGAAATAAGAACACTTTTACACTGCTGGCGGGAATGTAAATTAGTTCAACCATTGTGGAAGACAGTATGTCTACTCCTCAAGGATCTAGAACCAGAAATACCACTTGACCCAGCAATCCTATTACTGGGTATATAACCAAAGGAATTAAATCATTCTACTATAAAGATACGTGAACACGTATGTTTACTGCAGCATTATTTACAATAACAAAGTCATGAAACCAACCCAAATGCCCATCAATGACAGACTGGATAAAGAAAATGTGGTACATATACACCATGGAATAATATGCAGCCATAAAAAGGAATGAGATTTTGTCCTTTACAGGGACATGAATGAAGCTGGAACCCATCATCCTCAGCAAACTAACACAGGAACAGAAAATCAAACACCACATGATCTCACTCATAAGTGGGAGTTGAACAATGAGAACATATGGACACAGAGAGGGGAACAACAAATACCAGGGCCTTTTGGGAGGTGGTGGTAGAGGGGAGGGAACTTAGGATGGGTCAATAGGTGCAACAAACCACCATGGCACATGTATACCTATGTAACAAACCTGCACCTTCTGCACATGTATCTTGGAACTTAAAAAAAAAAAAAAACTTCTTGAAAAAACTTTGGTATGAATCTTCAGAAGGCTTTTTTAAAATGGCATTTTAAGAGCCTGTGAACATTCCATTCTATTAAAACATAACAGATTATGTAATGAATATTTAATGGCATACAGAATATAGAATTAAAACAAAAAATTTATTATGTATTCTTAGAAAACCAACATTACCAGAGTAAGCAAAAACCAACTATTTAAAAGTAAAGCTAATTTTTTAAAACAGTTGTTTTTGACTACTTATCAAGTTAGTAAACTTGATAGTAGTAGACTACTTATCAAGGTATTATACAATCAAATATACTTATTGAGGTAGTATTGAGTATTGCCTGAGTATTGCCTGGAGGCAGGTTGGTAGGTAGTCAAAGAAAACTGTTTAAAAATGTTACAAAATCACCATACTTCATTCATGTACCTTAGATGCCTTTTAGAACAAGACCTCAAAAATAATTAACCCAGTCTTGAAAATCTTCTCAAGTCCAACAAACAAACTTTTAAAACCCCATTTTAAAGACTTGACAATAGAACAAGTATAAATAATGAAAACACATAATTTATATGTTTACTAATTTAATGGGTTTTCATTTACATTTGTAATTTAGAATTTGTTGGCGGAAATAAAATACACACACACACATAACTGAAAACGGTAAATTTCAGGAACTAGAAATGCAATCCTATGGTATAAATTAATTTGTTTTTAAAAATATAATTTACCAAATTTTATCTTCTCTGCCACTTTGGATTGACAGCTGTTGTTATTTAGAAAATTCAGATTGCTGAGAGTTTATTTCTTGCTTCTTGAGTATGTTTAATTTTTACAAAGCTTTCATTCATGCCAGTAGCTGCCTTGGGGTCATTTTCTACTTAATCTTCCATCACCAAATATATTGTATAAGATGTTTATCCTTGAGTTGCAAAAGCTTAAATAAAAAGTTTCACTTTTAAAGTTTTAATTTATAAAATTCCACTAAAATTTTATTTAATTTTTATGAAGGTCCACAATAATATCTTCTTTCTTAAGAATCAAGCACTTTTATTCAAATCAATATTCTTCAGTTTTTAACTCTTCTATTAGAGTTTTATTTTTATTTTTCATAACTATAACTCAATTTTCTAGGCCTTTCACATATTCTTTCTTTCTCCTTTGATATTCTGAAGTGGCTTTTCTTTTTTTTTTTTTTTGAGACGGAGTCTCGCTCTGTCGCCCAGGCCAGACTGCGGACTGCAGTGGCGCAATCTCGGCTCACTGCAAGCTCCGCTTCCCGGGTTCACGCCATTCTCCTGCCTCAGTCTCCCGAGTAGCTGGGACTACAGGCGCCCGCCACCGCGCCTGGCTAATTTTTTGTATTTTTAGTAGAGACGGGGTTTCACCTTGTTAGCCAGGATGGTCTCGATCTCCTGACCTCATGATCCACCCTCCTCGGCCTCCCAAAGTGCTGGGATTACAGGCGTGAGCCACCGCGCCCGGCCTCAAGTGGCTTTTCTTATCTTGTCTGAAATATTTTAGCTGTTCTTTGTTGTTTACTCTTCCATAGATTTTAGAAGCAACTTGTCAAGTTCATCAAGCAACCTGTTTTTCATTAACCTTATTTCTCCTTTCAACTGGGGGTCTTCTGTCTTATTTGTTTGGTATGTAAGAGTCACAGGAGATGTCATCATCATAGTTTGTGGCAGAGAAGTAGTTGAAGGCAGTTTGGATCTGATATATCTGCCTATCACCTGATGCAGTCTGTACAACCAACTGATTGCTGGATGCAAGTATTTGCTGTCCATCAGGGACCTGCATATGCTGGAGAATAGTTGTACCTTGCTGAGTATTGCCTGAATTTGTCATGGTTAATTATGTCTGAAGTCTCTGTACTCCAGCTGTGCCTGAACTGGCCAATGGTGAGTCTCCACTTGAGACAATGGCAATGTACTATTTGCTGCCCTTCTGATAGATAGGAGTGGGAACAGACAGAAGTGACAGCAAAAACTCCAGGGTTTTCTCCATCTCCTTTTCTGCCCCATATATCTTCAGAAGATAGGTCTTTTAAAATTTTTCTGTAAGATGAATGCCGTGCTAGGATCCTGTAGGCTTTCTGTAAAGAGCCTAAGCTGTCAGATGGGTCCTGAGACTCCTCACCTTCTGATAAAGATCATACTATTGGCACATGTGGTGGGTGAATTACAGAAGACTGAGCTGTCTGGATGACACCCTGAACCTGTACTTGCTCTCCAGGAAGAGGTACCATTGTCATTAGTACAGATCATCTTAGTGCCATCTGTTTAGTAATATGAGAAATATGAGCTCCCTGAACTGCTGAACCAGGTTGAGATGCTGTCTCTGATGTGTTACACTTGTGAGAATCTTCCATAATCAACTCTTGGGGGTCAAGTGGGGTGAAGAGAATTAGTGTCACTTACCAGCCAGCTGTCCTAGACTACCTTTTCCTTACCAGTTAGGTCTGCCACTGGCATCCCTCAACCACATTTTATATTTTTGATGTCACAATGTGCATTTTTTGCATTGTGTAGTTTTTAAAACTTATTACAACTATTATTGTTTTTAATCATTTTGTATTTTAACCGTCATACTAAATATATGAATGATTTATATACCACCATTAGAGTATTAGAGTATGTGGTATTTGACTGCATATTTACTTTTACCAGTGAGATTTATGTATTCGTATTTTCCTGCTACTAGTTAGCATCCGTTACTTTCAGCTTGACGTGCTTCCTTTAGCATTTTTTTGTGAGACAGGCCTGGTGGTAATAAACTCCCTTAGCTTTTATTTATCTGAAAAAGTCTTTGTCTCTCCTCTATTTCTAAAGGACAGCTTTGCCATTTAAAGTATTCTTGAATGACAGTTTTGTTTTTTTTATTCAGCACTTTGAATATATAATCTCAGTCTCTCCTGGCTCATAAGGTTTATATTGAGAAGTGTGCTCCTGGCATTGTTGGGACTCCTTTATCTGTAATATTATTTTCTCTTGATGCTTTAAGGAGTCTCTCTTTGTTCTTGATTTTATTTTATTTTATTTTATTTTATTTTATTTATTTTTTAGAGATGGGGTCTTGCTCTGTTCCCCAGGCTGGAGAACAGTAATGTGTTCATGGCTCATTGCAGCCTAAAACTCCTGGTCTCAAGTGATCCTTCCATCTTAGCCTCCCATTAGTTGGGACTACAGGTATGTACCACCATGCTCAGCTAATTATTTTTTGTAGATACAGGGGTCTCTCTTTGTTGCCCAGATTGGTTGTGGATTCAAGCAATCCTCCCACCTTGGCCTCCCAAAGTTCTGGGATTACATGTGTGAGCCACTGTGCCTGGACTGTTCTTGTATTTTATAGTTTAATCATAACATGTCTTGATGTAGCCTTGTTTTTATTGAATTTTACTGGTGACTTTTGACCTATATCTGGATATTTATATCTTTATCCAAATTTGGAAAATTTTCTATGATTTCTTTTAACAAGTTTTCTGGTCCTTTGTTATTTTCTTTATGGAAACTTTCTGTTTTTGAGTATTTGCTCTTGTGATGCTGTCTCACAAGTTGCACAAGCTTTATAAAAGTTCTTACTTATTTATTTTTTTCTTTTTTCTCCTCTGACAGTATATTTTGAAATAACCTGTCTTCCAGTTCACAGATTCTTTCTTCTGCTGGATCAGTTCTGCTATTTAATACTTTCTATTGCATTTTGTTATTTTGTTTATTGTATTTTTTAGCTTCAAATTTAGGTTTCAATTTTTAAAATAATTTTATCCTCTCTGTTCAATTTCTCATTTTGATTGCTTATTGTATTCCTGATTTTGTTGAATTGATTTTATATATTTTCTTTAAGTTCATTTATATATTTTCTTTAAGTTCATTGAGATTCCCTCAAAGAATTGTTTTGAATTCTTTTTCAGGCAGTTTATACATCTCTGTTTCTTTAGAGTTGCTTATTGGTACTTTATTTCATTCCTTTGATGATGTTCCCCTAATTGTTCTTAATTCTTATGGCTGTACATTGGTGTCAGTACATTTGAAGAAGTAAGGACTTATTGTAGTCTTTGCATATTGGCTTTATCTGGAAAAATTCATCACTACTCAGCCTGTTCAGAGATTTTGGGCCAGACTTCTAGTATTCTTCATGGGCAGGCTTTCTGCTAGAGTCCTTGGGCAGGCTGGCTGGTGCCTGGGTGAGCAGGTGCATAAGCCTGGCATCTGGGTCCGTGGGATTGAGCCTGGAGCCTGGATCTACTGGGATGGACTTGTTGATTGGGTCTATAAGGGCAGGCCTGGAGCCTGTATCCACAGCATGTAGTCTAAAGTTTGTCTCTACAGGGGTTAACTTGGTGCTGGTGTGGGCTTTGAGCCTGGTTCTGCAGGGGTAGCCCCAAAAACTTAGCCTATTGGGGTTGTTCTGGAACTGGAATCTACTGGGGTAGTCCCAGACCCTAGGCCCACTGGACCCTGGAACCACTGTGACTGGCCTGGATCCTGGAGCTGTCCTGGTGCTAAGGCAAGGCTGAAGCCTAGGGCTATGTGAGCCAACCTGGCTCTACACTGGCCTGGGCCTTGATTGGGCCTGGAGCTTGGGGCCACAGAGACTATCCTAGAGGATGGGTCCATGGATTGTTGACTTGATGTCTAAGGCTACAGGAGCTGGCCTGACACAGGTGAACCTAAAGCCTGGGGCTGCTGGGGTAGGCCTGGACCTGTTGTGGGCTTAGAGACTGAATCTGTGGGGTCAGCCTAAAGCCTGGGGTCAGAAAGGTCAGCCTGGATTGAGAGTACGTAGGAGCTGGGCTGGTGCTGGAGTCAGCCTGAAGCCCAAGGCCACTGGTGCCAGCCCAGTGCTGGGGCCTGTTCAGAGGCTAGAGCCTGCCCAGGGGCTAGAGTAATGCAGACTGTTGGTGGGGTGGGCTCACATAATGAGTCTTCTGGGTAGGCCTGGAGACTAGGGCTGTGTGATCCAACCTTATGCTGGAGTGGGCCTAGAAGTTTACTCTATGGGTGCAAGACTACAGTCTAGGGCCATGCGGACCTACATGCTGCTGGATTTTACTGGGAGAGTCCCAGTGTTGATCAGAGGCAAAGTCCTGTGCTTGCTTCCCTCTCCTTCGCCCGAGCAGAGAGTTATCTCTCTCCATGTTATACTGCCTGGGGTTGGGAGGGAGAAGGATGATGCAGGTAATGTAAAACTCTCCTTCCTACTCTCTTCAGTGTGTCTTTTCTTATTTCTGTGCTACATTCCTGGGTTGTAATCTCTCACCTGGATTCCTTAGTTTTTTGTGAAGGTGTTTTCAAGCACGTGTACTTATTCAAATTGATGTTTTTGCAGGGGACGAGCACTGCAAAGTCCTATTCCACCACCTTGCTGACATCTGACTTGTAACTTATTTACCTACTTCTGTGTTAAAACTATGTTGATTATAAAATCTATACAAAAAGTGAAATGGAAAATAATGAGATAAAGATTGAGCAAATAACATTTGATTTATGAACATACAAAGTTACTCTAAAAATATATTATTAATAACATTCTAACTGCTTGCTTTTTAAATGTCTTCCTATTTGTGATGCTTTCATTTAATTATTTAGTAATATCCCAAGGCACATCATAAATTTATTGCTGTATTTATTCTCAACAATTGAAGGTATAAAACTGTGTTTGGAATAATCTTCTCAATAATTAAAAAATTGGGGGCTGACTTTTTGCCAATTCTGCTTAGATTCTCATGTGTACGTAATGTGTCTGATTATTGGGCTATACTGGAAGTGTATCAGTTATGCCATTTTTTTCTTTTGCTTACATTTGCAAAACAATATTATTTTCAGTTGTATTTTCTTAGCAGAAAACTTTTAAACTACTTGTTCATGTAAATAGCCAGGAAATATGCTTAGAATATGAAAACTTCAGTATGTAGCAACATGTTAAATATGACAGATCCTTAGGTTATCACCATCCAGCCTTCTGTGTTAAAGAACTCACATTCACTCTGACTTTAAAACCTGGTTGGGTTATAAGTCAATCTATATTATAAATATTAATGAGAGTTAATATAGCCTAATTGTATAGATAAAAATGTAAGTCCTCTAATATTTTCTTTTCCATTTCAATGGCTCTAATCATCATGTGCAATCCCAGATGAAAACACCTCGTTTTATAGACTACCATTTTTTATGTGAATGACTTAGCTGAAGACATATGAAGCGTGATTATTAAATTTTCAGATGACACAAAATAGGACGGACAATTAATATGCTAGATGAAGTTTTAATCCAGTCCAAATTCAAGCACAAAATTTCTCAAGATGATTGGGAATGGGAGGGTACAGGTAGAATCTGCCAGTTACCAGTGGTTCAGTTATTAATGATGTTGAATATGGACATGGGGGAAGATAAATCTCAGAAAGGAATTTATTGGGAATGTTGGGTGACAGGTTAAATTAGTAAATACCTGGAATGATAGACATTCCTACTGATATTGAGATACTAAGTATTTAAGAGGTAGATACCACTCTATTGCGTATTTAAAGAAGTCTAGTTTGTTTTGCTATGTGAGTAGGAGCCATTCACAATGCTTTTGTACATCTAAGCATATTTATTCAATGATGCTGTAAGCCTTATGATGTAATCAAATTGCCTGGAGCTATATTAGGTCTTACCCATGTAAATGAGCCTCCTCTCTTTAGGTACAACTTTTCTTTCTTCCTAAAGACATGAACAGTAATTTTAAAAAGCTGAAGTTGTTTATGCTGGGAAAGAAATGTGAGAAAACACCATATGGTCTTAAAATATGTGAAAGACTGTAGAGCAGAAAGGGATTATGCATAACATGAAAATTTCCAGAGGGTAGAACTAAAATCAATGAGAGGAAATTATTCTTTAAGCAAACATAAGGGAAAAAAATATTTTTGTAACACTGATGGAACTACCTAAAAAAAAACTGTGCTCTGTCCTGTCTTATAAGGTAGAGTGTTGAAGCAGAGATAATGGTCACTTGATCACAGACTTTGTGTAATGATTCATGCCATAGTGTGTGGAATAAATTTACTCATCATTACGAGATTTTCCTGCTATAAAATTCTGTGATTCTACAAATCAATTTATACTTGAGAAAAACTTTATTTTTATATTTGCCTTCTGGAAGTCCTCATTAACTTGTTATATGTTTAAAAGAGAAACAAAAAAGAATTCAAGCTATATTACCATATGCATTAAGTAAATCTTTTCTTTAATAGCATGTAAATAATTCAAACAAAAATGTTTTATTTTACTGGGTTGAATTCTACATTCTCCATACCACCTCAAGAAACCCACATTAATCTCTCTCGGAACACTGAAAGAAATCTACATCACTAAGTACAAAGTTTCCGTTTCAGTGAAAATTTACGAAGTGTACTTTAAATTTATAATTGTTTAAGAAGAGGCTTAACATTTGGTTGTTTTCAGACTTTTTTCCTTCTTGGAGTTAATCTTGGGTAATCTGAAGATTTTACTACAGCCAAATTCATCAGAATCTGCTTTCCTTAACTCATTAAATGACTTTTGGAAAGTAATTTATCAACTGTATATATAGTTCAGTGTCTCCCTCCACGTAAGTTCTATTTTCTGCTAAATATAGGAACATAGCCTAACTCCTCAAGATATCATTAGAATCAACTGTTAATGACATCACTGAAAAATTACAGCTTCTAGTACATTCACTTCTATTCATTCTGTAAGCAAGCAGCAAGTTTTTCAGTAGCAGAGCTTTGTTCTTGTTCTATGGGAATGTTTATATTCTAGGAACGTTTATGTTCTATTTTAGGTACTGTTTGTTTGGGTACTATCGGGTTTTCTTTCTCAATAACTCTATTGCATATTTGGCCTCAAAGCCTACTTGTTTTGTCCATTTCTTTTTTCAAATTAGAAAATTTCAAACTCAATAGTTAAATTTGACAGGTTCATTTTATTGGCAATTTTCTATTTAATCAACGTAATAGTTCTGTGTTTATTTTTGTTTTTCATGTCATTAATATCAAATCTATTAAAATACCATGACAGTCATAAATTTGCTAGTCTGTAGTACTTTGGTAAATAACCTGCTGTCATTAGTAAGTTTTATCTGACATAAGAAAAGTCTATTTGGATTTTAATAATATTTTTTGACATTTATCTTCAAGAAGACAAACTAAAGCTTAAAAATCTAGAAAGGTGGACTAAAAAGAAACACCACTTCACATTCAGATTTAAATTAAAAAAAATCGAACCTAGTTTCATAGTGTACCTTCAGCTCTTACTAATTACCTAGACAAACTTTTTTCAAAAATAGAAGAGATAAAATAAAATTATGTTTCTATGGGAAAAAATGAATAAATCTAGGCTTAAAAATTAAAGTCAGTTTCTGCAACACTTTTGCTAGGGACAGTATTACCTCTTTCCTCAGAATGAGAATAAAGGATGCCAAGGTCTGAAGAGTTAGACTGTTTTTATTCAAATACAGGAGAATTGTTGCCTTTTAGGCTGCAACTGACACTGGAATTTTTAGTAAGCCCTAATCAATCATAACTCTTGAAAGCAGCTATTACAATATGATATGAAAGTCAGACTGTGTGACATGAACTTTCCAAAAACCAGTGCTGACAGCTGCTCTCTCTAAGGGCACTCATTTTCTTCCCCTTTGCTTGAAAAAAAAAAAAAAGAAATAGAGGGAGAATGTGAATCTTCCAAGTTCCAAAATGTTATTTTACCTGTAAATTCTTTGGATATATAGAATCAGTGTTTTATAAATAATATTTGCAAACTGACTTAATGTACTCAAAACTGACACAATGTGAAGGCTGGCAAACACTGACAACTCAAAAATAATTAATGACTCTTTCTTTTAAAGAAATCCACCTAGACTAATATTAGCTTTAAATATATGTCAATAAATAAAGTTTTACAGAATCATTTATCATGAGGCTCACAGATATATGACCAATATAAAGTTTATTTTGATTAGGATAGGTACAATGCATGCTTCTTATCCATATTCTATTCCTATTTATTAATCAAGGAAAATAATCATACTTCTACATAAAAATTGAAGAATGTAGATGGTGTTTAAATGTGACAATAAATAAACAGCTGGCAATGAAAGAAAACAGACTTCTAGCAGGCCATCCTAAATAAACAAATGGCTCAGTAAAATTGTCTGTAAATAGTAAATCTCAAAAACAAGAAATGTTTTTTTTTGGCAATTACATTAAGGAAACAAATAGTTTGTTTTTTGAATTCCTTTATTTTTTCCTCTCTCTTTCTTTATTCTACCGGATCACATACACAACTAGGGTAGGAGGCAGATGAGACAGATTACTATTAAAGGGATTTAGAATATGGCATGGCAAAATATGCTATTTTGGCATGAGGATTATTTTGAACTGAAGGTAACTGAAGAACAGCAGATACATGAGGAGCTCTCTGCCCTCCCCCATCTGCCTCAAAGCAGAGCATAAATTTCCCTTTGTAAGGGTGACATAAATTTTCATTTGTGGAGATGTGCCCTTGCTTATACCAGGAAGATGAGGACAACTTCAAAGACTACTCTTCTCACTGGAGATTTGAGTCTGCATAACAAACCTTACTAAACAACATTTATTTATCATAAGTTTGCTAGTCACCTTCCCACAATTTACCTCACTTAGTAGCCCAAGCACCCCCTTCCTTTGTCATCACTTTTCTATGATGTATTACACTTTTTAAAAATGACATAGAAGCCCCCAAGTCTAACCACTTCTTTGGGTTTTCATTTTTATGTGAAGCCCCTGTGTATATCAAAATGTTAATAAATTTATGTGTGTGTCTTTTCACCTGTTAATCTGTCTTTTGTCAGTTTAATTTACAGGCTTCAGGAATAAACCTAAAAAGGTAGAGGAAACATTTATCTTTTCCTCTCCTATAGTATTATTATTTAACCAAGGTTTTACATGATATTAATGTCATAAGATGATGAGAACATGTTCAGATTTCTATAATTTTGAAACATGTACCTAGCATACTTCACGTTAAGTATGAGGCTTTCAAAAATCAGATGAGGAAATGTAAAGGATTATTTTATAAATGTTTAATATTTTTTCCCTGTAGAGAACATGATTTAGCAAGTCTGATATTTTGACTCATATAACCATTAAATATTTTCCTTTGTTGTTTATTTAAAAAATTTTCTAATTAGCATTGAAGATATAATATCCATAAACATCATGGATTAAATTTGGTTGACATATTTTCAAATGATTTTATCTTCCTGTTGATTCTGTATTATATTCACCTTTTAATGAAATAAATGCTGACAAAAAGGCGACTGCATTATAGAAAGTCAAAGGTTAGTTTTCACATATATAACTGGTTATTTGAAAGAAAATTAAAGTCCTTATAGTAATTTATGTACATAATATATATGATATATTTCATTTGTGTATATATAACATGAAATTATATTTACATAAATGTATGCAACACATATAAAGATTTATATTTGAATAATGAGTAATTAAACACAGATACAATCATGTGTCTCATAATCATGTTTTGGTTAATGACAGATTCATATAGGATAATAGTCTCATAAGATTATAATTGAACTGAAAAATTCCTACCACCTAGCGATGCCCTAGCCTTCTTAATGTGGTAGTACAATGCACTACCTTTTCTATGTTTAGATATGTTTATATAAATACTTACCTTTGTGATACAATTGCCTACAGTATTCAGTACATTAACATGTTGCACATATTTGTAGCCTAGGAACAATATGCCATACCATTTAGACTTGGTGTGTGGTAAGTTATACCATCTAAGTACGCTCTATGATGTTTGCACAACAATGAACCTGACTAACAATGCATTTCTCAGAATGTATCCCATGCACATATATATGACTGTATATGTACTAGAGATAATATATATTATATGGCTTGATACATATTACATTGAAACATTGAAATATAATTATTTTTGATTTATTGTTATTTATGTTATATATTACATATAGATATGTAATATATACATGTATGTACTTACATATGTATATATGTAGATGTGTAATTTGTAGTAACTATAACATGTTTTATCACTAGTTACAGCTTTTATTTCTTTTATTACTAGTTATAGATTTTTTTGGTGACATATATTTCTCTGAGCATAAACATCAATGACTAAGGGGTAAAAATGTTTTTTGTCTTCATAGTGTTTCCAGAGATTACAAGAAAAATAATCTGAAAATTTTTTTTTTAGTTCTACCTCTTCCTTTCTGTCAACATTTTATTCATTGTACAAAATAAGCAAAAGCAACTATATGGATGCCAAATAAATGGTCTGAAATTGAGAAAAACTGATTAAAGCAAATTTTTAATCTGAACAATTTAAAATGCAACCATTTTTATCTGTGAAAGTCTAAAGAGAAAAGACAATATGAGTTAAATGTGGGGTGGGGGTAGGTGAGGGAGTTTTAATCACTGAAAACTCACATTAATAAAACAATAAATTCCTAATTCTGTAGGAAATTTCTTCCTCAGTAATAACTAATAGCATTTTAGCAATTGTGTTTAAACAATGATAATGTAATACTATTGTTTAACTTGGATAATTTATCATTATCCAGTGATGATGGTTTATCCTCAAGAATGCTTTTTAACACCATTTCTACATTTCTAAAATTTTTAGGAGAGCAACTTTGATATATGGCTAGAGTTAACAACAAAGTGTTCACATCTGAGTTGGAGAATTATTAGGATCTTAAAGACGTATAGGGAGGGTGCACAGAGTTGTCCTGATTTCATTGGCCTTGGATTTCTTCTCATGCAAGATACAACCTATTCACTAATAAATGATACACTGGTTATAATACATTCCTAGGTCTGAAAAAAAAACAGAAATTTTCCTCAGTGTTTATATATTTGAATTTTTGGCCAATCTTTGCCTCTCTTTCAAAAACTTATTTTTGCCATCCCAGAATATCTCTTCTTATGGAGGTTGATATTCTTTATAAGACAATTTTATACAGTCAAAATACTCTTTCATTTTTGATAAATGAATATAATTCTAGTGGCATAATTATAGCTCACAGCAGCCTCAAACTCCTGGGCTCAAGGCAATCCTCCCACTTCAGCCTCCCGAGTAGGACTACAGATGCTTGCCACCCATCCAGCTATTTTTTCTTTCTTTCTTTTTTTGTACAGATGGGGGTCTCACTATATTTCCCAGGCTGGTCCTGAACTCCTGGGCTCAGGAATCCTCTTGCCTCAGCCCCACCAAGGTGCTGGGATTACAGGTATGGACCACTGTATCTGGCTGGACATATTATTATTTTATAGCTGAATATTAGTTTATGAGACTATCAAAACAAATATCACAGCAAGCTCTTTTATACCATTACAGTTTGGATTATAGTAGCATTGAAGCCTCAAAATTCTTGTATGTATGCAAAATCAAAATCTCATCTTGATTCTTCATATCAGTACAAGGAGGCACAATGTAGATATCCCAAAAAAGCAATTTTTTTCATGATTATCTTTGAAATAAATCTTTGTAAATATCTACAGTTAATGAATCCAAGCCTGCTTAGAGGGTTTTTATTCCCCTCCCATTTTTTACTCTAGCCCATCCTCCTCTTGAAATTCAGCCTTCTTAGGAAAGTCAAGTCACCTCACCAAAAAACAGGGCTCCAATCCAAATTTTTTTCTTCGGAGGATAGTTAAGCTTATGGCTTTTTAATGCTGTGCCTGCTGTCAAGCAGTTGTAGGTACACAGGGAACATACCAACATGCCAACAAAAGAGGCCAATCAGTAGAAAATTTGTTTATTTGGAAATAATGTTTGCTTGGTTTGAAGTAGAAAGCCTATATGAGAGCTAGGGCTTGTTTTTGGTTTTTCCTTATTATATTTTGAACATGCTAAGAAAAAGGAGAAATAATATTTTAAAGTCTTAAAATGCAGTTGCACATATTGATAGTTAGGAAGGCAATATATTGTCATAGATGATTCAACAGGGTTCTGAAGACTGGAGACCAATTATTAACTCTGGCTCACTTGCTCTATGCTTTGTTCTGGTCCCAACTGCCTCAAGTCTGAGTTTAGTTATGAAATAAACAGTGTCATCTTCACAATCTCTAAGAGTCTCCCTAACTCTAAAATGTCCTCGATTAATTTACTAAAAGGGTCTTCATTAAAAACAATTAGCATTACTGGGAATGAAAAAACTGAAATTCCAGTTTTTATATTGAGGGGCAACCAAATGATTTAAGGCATCTTTCTGTTTTTTTTTTCTTTTTTTTCTTTTTGAAACATAATTGTAGTCTCTCATTTACTACATAACAGTTTTCATTACACTTACCAAAATTGATTGTTAATGAGAGAATTTCTTCACATTACACAAAGTGTAAAAGTTGACTATTTTAAGTGAGACTCACAAATGGCTGATGTGATTGTAAGAACATCTTATGTGGTAAAAATAAATTATTTTCTCCAAATGCTCATGTGATTAAACTAAATGTTGTAGTAAATGAGCATTATAGAAACAAGACATTCTATTTCTAGAAATAGATTTTTAAAAAAAATCTGCAAGAGTCAAACAGCTGTTGCTTATCTGAAGTAATTAATTATAAAGATTTAAGGTAGACTTTCTTTTTTAATAAATAACATACGAAGACTATAAGAGTTTCCCTATTATGTAGCTATATTTTTGTCCAACAACGTAATATTTTTATACAAAATCTCCCTTGACTGTTCTTTTTGTAATCATAATACTAAAACCTAGTTCCTTTTTCTTTTACTAGCAAATCTTACATATTTACATAGGGATGGTTTGTCCTGGATATACTAAAATTTGACAAATAGGATTCAAATGGATTTTTCTGAACAGAGAAATCTTCACAATCAAAGAAAGAGCAACATAATACGGTTTCTTCAGTAAGGCTCAACTCAGTTCAAGATAATCATATCAATATGTTACAAATTGAATACTCTTCCTGCTTCAGTGAGAAAAACCACAAAATATATAAAGGCCTCAGTGCTGATGACATTTTGGTTTAAATTATTTTCTTTTGTAGACCATGTGTGTCCCTTCTCCTGACAGACTACAGATCCCATGAAGGCTATTATGTCCTTAGATTTGCCTTGTTAAGGGTGAGTGGTATAATTATAAGAGTTTGCACAGCTAAGTTGGTAGGTGGTATATTTATTTAATTGTTTACCACTTGACTGTGAGCCAGCTTTAGCAGAACAAAAGCCTGGTATGAGTGTATATTCAAGTCTATCATAATTTATGGGTGTCTCAATTTGCTGCAGCCATATCAGCTGGCTGAATCATGCCACAGTGACCCAGGAATGCCTAGGTCTTTGCATGTGGCTTATTCATGTCCAGTAATAACCAACAAATCTTACTACTGCACGGGCCTCTCAGTATTTGTTTGTTATATGCATAATTGAGTTACTCTAGTTACCATACACATGTATAAATCACAGCAATATTATTTAATTATGTAAAATTAAATATCAAGTATATGTGATGTTGCTTCTGAATTAACTGAATTAAATCTGTATGTAAATAGGGCTTCCTTTTAAAAATATTTGAGAGTACAGCAGGCATCACAGATATTGATTTTTCTGTCTTTTTTTCCCTCCTTCGACAGACTTATTCATAAAATCTGTTTGTTTTTTTATCTATTCCGCAGACTCTTAAAATATATAAACAATTTTTGAGCTCATGGTTTGGGCCCAGATTCATAGGAGATGTTTAGGGTGCTATACTAGTGAACTGGTGATAAATAAATAAACCAACAAATATTAGTAATACATTAACAGATAATTATGGTGTCGGTACTCCCAGGATAGGGGATGTGTCATGGCCTCAGTACCTAGCACAGAGTAGGAACAATAACTATTTGCTATTTATTTATTGTAAATCAGTAAGTATTTGTTGAATAAATGATTTCCCTCAATGCAGATGGCTAGTTTTAAATGGTCATAAAATGAATGATTAAAGTAAAACTTTAAGGGTGAATTAAGCACCATAAGCTTCTTAAATGGCAGTTAAAGGAGTACTTATATTAGGTTATTTTGATGCTTAACAAAGCCAGTACTTGAAAATGAGTAAAAGGGATTTACTAGTAAAGAAGCAGGTAGAATCCTGACGTTCGTGTTAAATATCGTTGAACTTGGAAAAGTCTTTTTTTTTTTTTTCTAAGTCCAATTGGAATTTGAAAAGGAGGAAGTTTTGGGGGATGATATTACGGACACATGAACATTTCAGGCCTATAAATAATTGTTCATAATGGAGGATTGAAATTATTGCCTTTGTGGTTTTTAGAAATTGTCTTATTAATGAAGGAGAGTAATGACTTGTTTCCATTAAGAATGTCTTTAACAAAACTGTCAACACTTTTAAATAATAGCTACCCAGCCATTTGCTTAGCTGTTTTTGTGTATTTGGTTCATATAGAAACATGTAAGCATATTTCCGAAGCTAATGAGAGGAAGGATGTGCTATAGAAAACTAGATTAGTTAGAGGCCTACATCATTCTAGAAGAGGAAAACTGAAGAAACAGTCAAATATAACTTCTTTCCTGACACTGCCTGATTACGTTGTGGCCCTCATTCACACAGCATATGAAAAATGTTAGCCCCTGGTACTAACATTTAGAAATGACAATCCAGTGGAAATTACAACTTACACAGGAAGAAGATGAAATGCTCATCATTCCTCTACTAAATTGTTTTTTCCTATAGAAAGTTTTCCTTCTCGGAATGTGTTATGCCACAAAGCATCCACCTCCATAGCAAGCAGTCTTGAGTTGATGGATTCCTTATAGGTAATCATGTGGTCTGTGGATACTTCTGGTTGTAATTTCTTACAGAGCTCTCCCACTTCTATTATTTTCTCATAACTGTAATCTAGACTTGGAACCTCTTTCAGCAGAATGACTGAAAGTTCATGAGCCTACTTTCCTATCCAAATGGATTTCCTGTAACCAATTTCCAGTTTCAGCTAGAGCCATGCTCTCTGCTTAATTTCTCAATTGTAATTTTTTCTCTAAAATTTATATTGAGGTATAACATATGCATCAAAGTGCACAACTCATAACTCTACGTATTTTTTTTAACTAAGTAAACACCTTAGTGAACATGCCCTATATGGAAATAGAACATTAGTAGCTAAGCAAACATTTTTTTTTTTTAAATTAACACTCCCTGAGAGCTTGAGAGTTCTAGCTGCTCCATGTCTTTCCTAACATTTGGTGTTGTCAGCATCTCCGCCTCCAGTTTAGCCATTCAGGTGTGTGTATTGGTACCTAATTGGAGTTTTAATTTACATGCTTCTGGTGACTAATGAGATTATGGGCCTTTTCCTATGTGTATTGCCCTCTTCTCAAAGGGTCTCTCCAACTCTTTTGCCTATTTCTTAACGGAAGTCATGACTTTGAATAACTAAATTTTTAGAATTCTTTTATATATTCTGGATAATTGAGCTTTATCATTTATGTGTTGCAAACATCTCCTCCGACTGTGTTGCTTGCTTTTTTCTTCATTTAATGATGTCTTTTGATAAACAAAAGTTCTTAATCATTATTTTTTTTGTCCTTTCTGGTTCATCCATATTGTGCTCTTAACATAAAATTTAGGAAGTTTTGGCCTACTCAAAAATCTAAACAGTATATATATATATTTTTTTCTATATTCTACATTACCAATAATGTCATTGGAACATAATGACTGTTTTATTTTTTGTTTCAAATTCTTATGACTTCTTTTTTACTTTTTTTCACTGTCCTCCAACATGCTAAATAGAAGTACAGTGGATATGCTTGCCTCATTGTATATCTCAGAGTAAAATTTTCAGTATCTGATCCGTAAGTGTGAATTTCACTAGCAATTCTTTTTAAAAACTCTGTATGACATAAATTTTTCCCTTTGATTACTTATTTACATTAGTTATTAAATTTTATCAAAAATATTTACGCATATATTGAAATAAACTTGATTTTTCTCCTTTGTATATTAAATTACATTGATTTGTAAATCTTAATCCAATCTTGCATTCTTGGATGAAAGCCCACTGATTTTTTTTTAATTTCTTCATGAGAAAGATTCACATGAGAATTGTGGAGCTTCTAGATGGCATTTTCTTCAAGAGTTTCCTTTCATTCACTAGCAGACAACTAGAGTAAGAACAGATCACTTTACTCCAATTAATGACAGACAGGAGCCATGTATGGGTTTGAGTTTTTGTGATATTTGACTTATTTTGGCTTCTCTTCCTTCCTGAAATGCAGCTTAGGAGTGCCTCAGAACAGAGCAAACCTTCCCCACAGCATCTCCAGGGAAGTGATAAAATTCCAAAGAAAAAATTAGATATGTTCAGACAGGTCCACCAAAGATTTTATGAATAAAATATAGCATAAAATAGCAGAGAATTACAGGCCCTAAGAGTATTCTTTTTCTTTATAATCATTTTAAAGAATATGTGTGTTATTGGAACCTTTGTAATTTGTAAATTGCAAGAGGTTTGCAATTATTACTGTAACCTATATGTTTCTCTGTAGTAAAGGGTATCCTAAAGAAAACCTTTAAAAATGAGGTGAAGGGAAAGCTTCATCTGCTGATGGTTTGGGAAGACAAAGAGTGGGAAGGTGGGAAGGAAGGATCCCCTCACTACAGCCAGCCAGTATCCATGGGACATGGTAGGGGAATTGAATTTATCAGGGGCTTAGAGTTTGCTTGTAGAAATGAGAAGAGTCTTCCCAGGGCTCAGAAGAGTCTTGGGGCTCAGCAGCTCTCCAGACTTGGGACTTGTTCACATAACACAATCCTCAGCAGAGAAGCCACACATTTAAAATAGAGAGTGACATTTCCTCCTGAGAGATTTGTAATAACAACTTTCTTACATAGAACTACACATAATCCAGACAATTCTGAATGCAATAGATTTTGTTAATTCAAATTGCATAGGAAAGCAATTCTACCTGGGTATCATATTATATATAATATAAATTATTTTTATTTGTATGAATTAGTCTAGCAAAATGTATAAGGAAGGTGTTTGATAAACTATTGACATATTTTAGGGAAATTTTTCTTCCTATAATATCTTAAGGGAGAGCATCAGGAAAAATAGCTAATGAATGCTGGGCTTAACACCTAGGTGATGGGTTGATCTGTGCAGAAAACCATCATAGCACACGTTTACCTATGTAACAAACCCAAACCTGTACATATACCTTGGAGCTTAAAATAAAAGTTGAAGAAAGAAAACTTCTAATTTTACAGTCAGGCTGTATTTTTATGGTCTAATTTATTAGGTGTTCTGGTCCTTTTTGTACTGCTATAACACAATAATGAGACTGGTTTATTTATAATGAGCAGATATTTATTAGCTCACAGTTCTGGAGGCTGGGAACTCAAATATGAAGACACTGGCAGGTTTGATGTCTGGTAAGGACCTGGTCTTGGCTCTTAAGATGGCACTTGAATATTTTATTCTCCAGAGGAGAGAAACTCTGTTCCTCATATAGCAGAAAAGTAGGGGAGGTAGGAGAGAAAGCCCAATCCCTAAAGCCCTTGTATTAAAGCAATAAACCTACCCATGAGAGTAGAGGCTTTATGGCCTAAATTGCCTCTCAACAGATCCATCCCCCAATACTCAAAATACGCATTGAAATAAATTTCATGTGTGTTTTGGAAGGGACAAACATTCAAACCACAGGATCAGGTTATGAAATTTTCAATGCCATTTTTGTTTCCTTCTTTTTAACACCTACTACTTTAGAATTCTTGCTAGTGAGATTGTCACAGAAAATAGAAAAAGTAAAACTTTTGACTCAGTATCTTGGAAGAAAATACGAAATTGCTTCTTTGGGTTTTATTTGTTACTATGTGAAATCCCGTTAGATGGAAATGCCTCTTCTGTTGGCATCTGCAACTTAACTTTCTACCTGTCTGACTACTTCTCAGGGGTCTCCTTCAAGAAGACATCAGTCACTTACTAAAGGCATCTGCTCCCTTGAGAATCTATCATCTTCCTGGGTTGATGCTTTTACTATCTGTACATCTTTGCTCTTGGGGCAGCCTCAAATAGCTAAATGACAACCAGATGCCTTTTTTTCAGAAGTTTTGCAAACATCTCAAAGTTCATATTTCTGAATCAATATTTATCTTGCCTTAAACCTGTCTATCTATCTATCTATCTATCTATCTATCTATCTTCCTACCACCTATCTCCATATCTATCTATGATCTGTCATATCTCTTTCCTCTTCTTCCCCATTGTGAATATCTAAGTTTATAAGTCATTACCTGTCAAGTGGATTATTCTTACAGTTTTTCCAACTGCTTTTTTCGCTGCTTTCATTCTGGACTTCCCTATAACTCATCCTCCAAGCTGCTCCTAGAGTGACCTTTTTAAACATTCAAATCTGACCATATTGTCAGATACTTTAAAATCCTTCAGTGATTCCCTGTAGCTTTCAGGACAATATTGAAATGCCATTGCTTAACATATTATGTCATTTGTTATTTCGGCAATTGCTCGCTTGCGTGCCACTTCTTTGTTTGGGTGTTCAAAAAAGCCCACTCTCCCCAGCCCTTATGTCATTAAATAATACCTACTAATTTCCCCAAATTGAGCATTAGTTTTCCATGGTCACCTATTTAGATTTAGAAGTCTTTCCTCAGAGCAGCTTATCAAAAACTCAATTAGAACAATTACCACAGTTAGTTATACGCAGGGATTTCTTTTTCTCTTAAATTAAGCCTTAACAACATTGAAGACAGTGAATTTTTCCTTATTTGACACTGTAGCCCAGGCAAATAGCATAATAAATACCTACTGTATAATCGATGCCCAATAAACTTGTGCTGCATGCATGGATGAATAAATTAATGTTTGAATGCTACATATTTGACACATACAAAAATAATCCATTCACAATCCAGCAATATAGATATAGAGAAGACAAAATATTTTCAATCCATATAGTACTCACAGTATAAACCATGAAGTGTTGACAAATCAAAAGGAATTGTTTACCAAATGTAACCACAATGTTATCAGTTTTGAAGAAAGGATTTTTTCTTTTAAATGCTGTATTCAATTTTATGATAAAAATGCATAAAGTTATAAAATTTATTATATGCTTTTTAATTTTAATAGCACAAATGCCAACTTTTAAAAGAGGATTTGGTAGAATTGCTTTTATATGAATCCTTTAATTTTGCCTCTTGTGTTAGGTCTTTTAATTGATTCAATAACTTTTGCAAATCAAAAAACAGCCAACGAGAAGTTGAGTTGTCAATTGCCTCTTAATTATAGTTACTTGGAGAAGTCTGGAAGATGACCCTGAGGGCAATTGGAAACACAGATTTTCTTTGCTGCATTTCTGTGGTTTTGTTAATGTGGCTTGTGGTTATTTTGTTAATTAGAAAGACTAGTTTTCCATAAACAACAGGCTTTCTGAATAAAATATTTCCTGTAACTCTAAAGGCAAGGATTTATTGCCTTTGTTTTTAAAGCCATAACTGTACATGGTAATTAAGTTCCTGGTAATAGTGTTCTAAAATTCTAGTAGTCGGGTCAAAATCTTACCTTTAGTCAAACCTGGATATAAAATAGGGAGACCTGATACTTGTTTTCAAATGATTTCCAAGGGATATATTTTTGCGTGTGTGTTTATATGTATACATTCACTTGCAAAGGATCAGAGGGATATGTATTTAATGACAATGTATTCAACATTTTCTTTGTTTTGTTATAACCTTCCTCTGTAAGAGTGTTCAAAATAACATTTTTTCTCTATATTTCTTGTTCCCCACTTAAGTCTATTTAATATGTATAGTACATATGTATAGGACATATTAAAATGTGTGCTTACATATTTCATAGCAGCATTTGTGCAAAAGCCTTCAAATTTAAATATGTCAATGCTATAATTATAGTAGAATGAAGGCAAATGCAAGAATGGCTCTGAGAGGTTTATCCTTTTAAACTGCAAATTTAGCTCTTTTACATAGGCAGGTTTAATTTCAAAGATGTTCACAGTGTAGGAACTAATTAATTAGTTAATAATGCATGAAGCCAGTAGAGCATTATCAGTGTTGTATCCCAGATGAAAAAACAGAACAAATGACGAAACTTACATTTAATTTGACCCTTCCAAACATGAAAACTTTCAGTTTTTCTTGTTTTCTTCTTATATTTTTGTCAGTTTATCCTTCATGTCTTTGGTTGCCTTCTACCTCCATAAGATTATAGAATGTTTAAATTCCTGAAGTGGAAAAGGGAGGTAACAACAATTTGACAATGACAAATCATTTAATGGGCTTGATAAAGCTAATTGTAAAACCTAAAGTGATTATTCACTGTGATAGCACTTCATCTTATATGGGCTGCTAGTGCCCATTTGCTAAACTGACTTCCTTATTATGGCAAGTGGA